>NC_000012.12:76854067-77005582 GCF_000001405.40 Homo sapiens | reverse complement strand
CAGAGGTATCTTTAGGAAAGTGTGCCAGGTATGTAATAATAAATAGCTAATATTTATTGGGGTGGGCACTGTACTACTGTACTAAACGTGTGACATCTTCTGTTGTGTTTGAGGCATTAAGCTTTTGGGTTTATTTGGTACAGCAGTTTGATCTGCCCCAACCAATACAGCTGACAAGTGCAGAGTAAAAAGCCAAATATGTGAGTTGAATGGTGTGAAATGCTAGTGGGATCAATCAGTGATGGCCCAATATCCCACCTCCAGGAGGGAAACGTATGTAACAGGCAATAGAACAAGGAGCCAAGGGCATGCTCTTTCATTTCAGACAAACTTGGCTGAAGCCCCGGCTCTGCCACTGACTAGCTGTAAGGTAGCAGTTATATCATTTAACCTTGCTGAGGCATGGCCAACCCAAGTGTAATGTGGGGATGATAATAATCACCTGAGGTTTTGCCAGGATTGAATGATGTTATGACATAAAGTACTTAGCACAATTAATAGATTTCATAACAGTAATGCTATGTCAGTATGCCAGCCTATGGGTGGGAATGCTCCTACCCTTGCTAATGGGCTGAGCTGGTGATACCCACACAGTTCCTTATTCTTCAGTCTTCCTTCTTGTCTCTGACTTACTTCTCCTATCCTTCTTGTTCCAAGAGTAGTCCTCCAGATGTAACAGTAACAATAATTAGGGAACCACTTTTTATCACATTCCATCTGGATTCGATTAGATTTCCAGTCCTTGTCATTCTTCCTATGATACTTTTGCACTTCTCTTTAACATATTCATTCATCATGAGTTATCTGTGTCATTTTACTAATCGAACACTAAGAGCAAGATTATTTGCCTTTTTCCATGTTCTGATGCATACTTCCAGTTCTAATACACAAGTAATGACTTTATTCTCAGCCCCAAGCACTAATCACATATATTCAGTTCAAGGCTCACATTACTTATCAGTGGGAGGAAGCCCAGATGGAAAATATTTTCACAAGCCAGCTAGCATATTCCATGGAGTGAGAAGAACTCTCAGCTCCACTGACAAGTAATGTCTACCACTAGAGAATAGCCTCATCTGGTCAGGCACAGTGGTTCACACCTGTAATCCCATCACTTTGGGAGGCTGAGGTGGGAAGATTGCTTGAGCCCAGGGGCTCGAGACTGGCCTGGACAACATGGCGAAACCCCATCTCTACCAAAAATACAAAAATTAACCAGGTGTGGAGGTATGCACCTGTAGTTCCAGCTACTGGGGAGGCTGAAGTGGGAGGATCACTTGAGCTTAGGAGGTTGAGGCTGCAGTGAGCCATGATCACACCACTGCCCTCCAGCCTGGGCGACCAAGTGAAACCTTGACTCAAAAAGAGAGAGAGACAGAGAGACAGAGAGAAAGAGAGAGAAAATAGCCCCATTTGAATTTTCTAAATCAGACCTGGCAATGATATCATCTATATACTCTACATCACTTTGAAATGAGGATGTATGTAAAGCTGCCATCTGTCTTCATTTGTCCTCACGAGAGTCTCAGGATCAGCCAGACAAAAAGATGATCTCAAAGGGGCATACATCCCCTCACTGAGGCTGCTGCTGCCATGAGGAGAATGTCCCTGGATCTTGAAGACTTCCTTTCTCCTAAATTCCACTTTTTGCTAGACTCTTGGGGTACCATAGTTTTATAGCAGTCTGCAGAGTAGGCAAGGAGGGTTAAATCATGGATTTCTCCCCTTTCTGCTGCCTTCCCCTTACACATATCCCACTAGTGCCATCTCACTTCAGGCCATTCAGTGGTGTGTCATTCTCCAAAGGTAAAGTACCATTCTCATTGTTGAATGCTGTTTAAGTATCTCTACTTTGTTTTGTGTCAGTATTTCTTACAATGTACTAGATAGCGCAATCAATAGGAGTGCTGATTATTCATGAAGGCAATCCTGCTCTTTTCCATCTTTTCAAGTATTGAGTCAAGTCCCTTAGGTTTCTCTGGGGTCTAATGTCATGGTCACAACCAGACTTCCAAGTTCATGAATATCTTCCATAACATATTAAATTGTACTCCAGTGCACTATTTTTACTTGACTAAATTGGCACTACTTGCTTACCCCGTATGACTGTTACAGTATTTCCTGGAATGACTTCAACGTTTATTTCATTGTAAAATGCTACAAACCACATTCTGTTCACAGTAATATTCAGCTAGCACTTTAACTCCAATATGCCTGGCACACCTAAACTTCTCCTTTCTCTTTTCTCCCATTTTAGTGCTCTTCAATAGCTGAGATAGAAAAGGAAAGGCAAGAGTTATTCAAATCAGTAAATTTAATTTCTTGGAAAAGTTATACATTTCATGTTCTTCTGATCTACAATTAAACCAAAGTTTTACTGGACTCTTTACTAAAGTTCAGAGGAATTTAGGTAGCTGTATGTATTTCTTTTTTTTTTTAAGCAATTTCTCAGTAGTATACATCAGGAGTTGGCAAACTGAAGCCCAAAGCCAAATCTAGCCTGCAGCCTGTTTTGCAAATAAAGTTTTATTAGAAAACAGCCTTGCTCATGTGTGTACGTATTGTCTGTGGCTGCTTTCACACTTCAACAGCAGAGTTAAAGGCCCCCAAGATCTAAGATATTTACTATCTGGCCCTGTATGGAAAAAGTTTGCTGACTCTTGCTATAGACGAAAGACTTTAAGTGAATCAATTTATGTGTTTGAGGCTGGGGATGGGATGAAAAAGATAATTTCCATTTAACTGAAAGGCAGTTTAAGATTTCCCTCCTGTATTGGGTTGAATAGAATTTCCCTCCTGTATTGGGTTGAATAGAATTGAATTTCCATTTAACTGAAAGGCAGTTTATACTTGAGATTTCCCTCCTGTATTAAATAGAGTTCCCCACCTTCATGTCCCCTGGAACCTATAAATGTGAGTGACCTTATTTAGTAATAGGGTCTTTGCAGATGTAACCAAGTTAACATGAGGTTATACTCAATTAGCGTGGGCCCTAAATGCAACAACACGTGTTTTTATAAGAAGAAGGAGATTTGGAGACACAGAAGAGACACACTTGAAGGAAGACCATGTGATGACACAGGCAGAGACTGGAGTGATGCTCCCAAAGCCAAAGAATGCCAAGGATGCCAGCAGGCATGGGAAGCTAGGAAGAGACAAGGAAAGACTCTTTCCTAGAAACTTCAGGGGGAGCGTGGTTCTGCTGACACCTTGATTTCAGATTTTTGGCTGCCAGAACTATTAGAGAATAAATTTCTGTTGTTTCATGTCACACAGTTGGTGGCAACTTGTTACAGCAGCTCTAGGAATCTAATACATGTTTAATTGACATTCTGGCTGTGACATCTCTAGACTACTTTTCTGTTTTACTGTGAAAGGAAGACCAAGTAACTAATGCAATTGTAGGTCACTGATGCCCAGGAAATTTTAAATATATATAAAGATGATATAAAATAATTTTTCAACTTTGTTAGGGTTGGATTATGGTAGAGATAAGAAAAGAGAAAATAATTCTAAAATTAAAGGGGAGAAATCAGACAACTAAGAAAGCGTATGCTTTCATAGTGTTCACATTTTCTATCTCTCGGAACCACACAGTGAACATTCTCTCCCCACTGGGCTTTCCCTTCTGCTTTGAACGCTGTTGCCCTGATGTGTACATTGCTCATTCCCTCACTGCCTTCAGTTCTCTGCTGAAGTGATACCTTGTTAAGGAAGCCCTTCCTTGCCACCTCATATCTCACACACACACACACACACACACACACACACACACACACACACACACACACCTTGCCTAGTCCTTTTGCAGCCTCTTCACCATGATTTTCCTTCCTAGTGCTACCGGCGGGTCTTTGTTCTTACAGCTCCCAAGATAATGGCGGGCCTTTTGTTCTCTAACCATTAGAAGCCGTGGGTCATGGAAGAGAACCGTGGAACCCAGTGACTAGTGTTCAGCTCGATTGGGACAAACCCGGGCACTTAGCCGTGCAGCAACAATGGCGAGCCTTTAGCCCAATCGGGAGCGGCAATGGGCGCCTCGCTGGATCAGAAGAACAAAGGACACCCTGCCAGATCCGGAGGGGTGGAAGTCAGCGGCGGGTCTGCAAGGGCAGCAAACAGCAGTGGTGGACGGTGAGCGAAAGCTCAGCTCAAGCGGTAACAAACACGGACCACAGGAGTGTGCACAGCTGCAAGATGTAATAAAGTGAACAGAGCTCTCGTACAATAGGAGGGGACCCAAAGGGGTTGCTGCTCCCTGCTGGAATGCCTGGGTTTATATCCCAATCATTGTCCCTCCCCCTGTGCTCTCAGGAGATACATGATTTGACTATTTCTTTACCTCCTGCTTTTAGCCTAATTGGTATTTTAGTGAACCCTCTTTACTACCTGATTGGTCAGGTGTGAGCTGAGTTACAAACCCGGTGTTTAAAGGTAGGTGTGGTCACCTTCCCCAGCTAGACTTAGAAATTCTTAGTCAGCCTAGGAAATCCAGCTAGTCCTGTCTCTCACTAGCACTTATATTCATTTATTTATTTCATCTTCCCCCATAGAATGTAAGCACTGAATGGTCAGGAACTCTGTTCTGCTTTGTTCACTTACATATCTCGTGTTTGTGTTTATGAAACAGGAACATGAAGAGTGTTAAGCCCTGGGTTTAAATTTTGTAACTAGCATCTAGCTGTGTGACCTTCAGTAAGTTTCTCATAGGTCTGAGCCTAACTGTCCTCACCTATAAAGCAGAAATCAAAAGACTAGTTAAAAATACATGCGTAACGCATTGTAACTTCTGATATAATATTATTCTGAATGTGGAGATAGGAGCCTTGAAAGTAGAGTAATTCTAGTGTTCATTCTCTAGCTTCCAGAGTGTTCAGGGGCAATAATTCCTTCATTGCTTCATAATTGAGATATATTAAAATAACCTTTAAAAATAACTAGTCCAAGAAATATGGTATATAACAAAAATGTCTTCATCAGATTCACTGAAATTCTTAAGATTCATAAGACTTGATTCAAATCTCTATCTGGTACATTAATTGGCAAAATTGAATTTATATCCAAAGCCCTAGCTGCAAGGGAATCTAGGAAATGTAGTTTTCACTTTTCAACCTCCCCTCTTGGAAGAAAGGATGGAACACAGGTTATCTGAACTAACATATAGTATCTAGCACAAATGGCATCCTTTGTTGTTTATATTTTTATGTAGTATGACTCACAAGAATCAATTCACCATTTTATGTTCAGATTTTCCTCTATTTACAAGAGGAAAAACAAAATGTGTTTTAAAGCATTCTGATATATTAGTGGTAAAGGTATACTATTAGGATTCTTTGATTTGACCAATTTACTGTAAAGTCATTGGATTAAAGATATACAAATCAAATGCAGCCAGAAGCCTTCCAACCCCAAATACCCAAGCAAAATTGGTTCAAACTCCAACCCTGGATGCCACAACCTGCAAGCCTAGAGCTCACCCCAAAGTATCTGTGAATTTCACATGAACTTATGTTCCTAAATTCAAATTGACCTTGCGACTCCTACTTCCACATGTGCTGCCTCTGTTATGTACTTTTTGATCCAGATGAAAAATTTAACCCTTCTCTAATTTCTACAAGATTCCACTCACAAAATATTAATAAGATTAATACACTTTACTAAAAACAATCCTGCATTGCAAAGTCTAAGAACATAACACAGTTCTTACCAGAGACTCCGGCCACTAAAGCATTAAATGCATTGAATTTAGCAGCCTCTGGCTACTAAAGCACTGAATGCTGGATGTTATCCTTCTTACAAGATCCTCTGGCCACTCCACTCCCATGAGTTTTAATGATCCTAGATTCTATTTAGTGACAAGCATACTCCCATTCTGTCAGCTGATTCATCTGTCTCAGGTGCTCTCCTTATCTCATTCAGGATTGTTTAGTCTTTATTAATTGACTGGAATGCATTTATCTGCAAGTATCAGAAATTAAGCTATAGTTACTTAAACAAATAGAGGTTTACTCTTCTAATATAACAAGATGTGCAGAGATAAGCAGTCCAGCACTA
This sequence comes from Homo sapiens, assembly GCF_000001405.40. Lineage (NCBI taxonomy): Eukaryota > Metazoa > Chordata > Mammalia > Primates > Hominidae > Homo > Homo sapiens. The sequence goes on along the minus strand of NC_000012.12, from coordinate 76,999,528 downwards.
AAATAATGGCTTAATAATTCCATCAGAATCCCAGGCTCTCTCAGTCTTTTTGTTCCACTATTATTAGGTATCTTTTGTTCTCATGTGTATGGTCTCACGGTTACAAAATGCCTGCTGCACTTTCAAGCATCAGGTCATTTTCTAAGTGATTCTAAGGCTGAAAATCAGATAAGTGCTGACTATGGCATTTGTTATATATATTTAAATACCACAAATCACCTTACACACAAAATTTTGGAAACTAAAACAGAGTTAGCTTTTTAAATATACAATAATTTTCTGAGCACATGCAAATTGAGATTCTAAGGCAGGGAAAATATAATAAACATTTAAGGAATTGCAATAAGAGCTACTGCATCTTGAATGTCTCTGTGTTATGCACCAGACATTGTAATAGACATTTTACATGCATTATTTTATTCCATTCTCATGACTCATCATTATGAATCTGAGGTTCAGAGATGTTAAGTGATTTTCAGGAGGTCACACAAACCCCACACCCAGTGAGTCTAATTTCAAACTTCATGCTGTACCTTCCTTCAGGGGCATGGAGCCTTCCTTTTGCTTTACACCAAAATCCAAGCTACAGTCCCTGAACGCTTCCAACTTATGTTTATGCACCATGATTTCTAACATATATTAAGGGAATGGAGCACGCTTTATAAATTTTCTACTTTAAGGTATTTTGTTGGTAGTGTAAAAGTTGTTACATTGAAGCATATCCACAACATTTAGTTATGATAAGATAGGTTATGGGCCTATTTTAAGACTAGATTTCTGTGGCCCGGACATTACACTACAATATAACCCTGCCTCCATTAAAAACTGAGTTTAAGAAAATTGAATAAACATTGTGTTTAATTAAAGTTCATAAACTATGCAAAACAGATGCCTGTATTTGCAGTTGTATGACAAATTACCCTTCAGAGCTCTAACGGGCACCAGACCAACTAAAAGAACAAAGTCAATTAAAGCTAGACATAGATTAGTATTCCGTATTCAGTGCTTTTTTGCACCTTACTCCACTTCCCCATCCTCGTGGATTTCCCTCCCTTGTTTTAGGTACCATAAGTTTCCCTCACTACTTTGCTCTATTAAAACAAGGAAGGATTTATTAAGGAGGTATATGAACTTGTTGAATGGCTAATGACATTTTGCTGAAGCATATTCAAACTAAACATTACTTCATCTAGACATTTATATTTTGTTTTTTACATTGAATTGTATAGTGAAAGATTATTTCCAGTAAAGAAAATTGGCATAACCAGTAAGTAAGGAAACATGGGAAGAGAATTAGCCAAGGGACTCTTTTGTTTTTTGTGTTTTGTGTTTTTAGAGACAGTCTCATTCTGTCACCCAGGCTGGAGTGCAGTGTCGTGATCTTAGCTCACTGCAACCTCGGCCTCCCAGGCTCAAGCGATTCTCCTGCCTCAGCCTCCCTCATGAGTAGCTGGGATTACAGGCACCTGACACCATGCCTGACTAATTTTTGTATTTTTAGTAGAGATGGGGTTTCGCCATGTTGGCCAGGCTGGTCTTGAACTCCTGACCTCATGATCCACCCTCCTCAGCCTCCCAAAGTGCTGGGATTACAGGTGTGAGCCACCAAGCCTGGCCAAGACTCTTAAAATTAGAATAAACCTCTTCTGTTAAACCTGAAGGCAAACCTAATTAAGTCCTTTTAAGGAGATTTGGGGATGGGAATAAAAGGAACTGGTAACCTCCTTTTCTCCTGCTTATGATATCTGTTCCAAAATAGAGGATACTAGAATATTGATTATTTTCATTATCATCTTTGTTGATGCCATTGTCATCATCCTAGCATAATACGTTCCTTCATCTGCAATATCATCTGAGATCTGAGACCCCTCCTACGTCTGTCTGTGTTACACTGAAATAGACAAGAGCTGGCACTTCTGCCCACCAGTCAAGTGCCAGGATTGTGCCCATTATTTCACAGGCATGATCTCATCTCTCAGTATTTCCCAAAAGCTGTTCAAGAACAGAATATATCAGAATTACTTGAGGCACTTATTTAAAATGCAGATGCCTGGGCCCTGCCACAGTTTTATTGAATCACAACATTCTGGGGATCTAATGCATAGTAAATTTTGGGAAGAGCTACATGCAATTTCAGATAGTCTCCAACTTAACAATAGTTTGACTTACTTATGATTTTTTGACTTTAAGGTGATGCAAAAGCCATATGCATTCAGTAGAAACCATACTTCTTCAAGTACTGTCTGAATCCATTTTCTACTGCTATAACAGAATGCCACAGACTGGGTAATTTATAAAGAACAGAAGTTTATTTGGCTCAGAGCTCTGGAGACTGGGAAGTCTAAGAATATGGGGCCAGCATCTGTTCCGCATTTGATGAAGGGCCTCTTGCTGTGTCAAAATGTGGTGGAAGGGTAGAAGGGCAGGAGAATGTGTGAGACAGAGAGAAATGAGGCCTAACTCACCCTTTTATCAGGAGCCCAGTCCCGTGATAACCAATGCACTCCTGCAATGATGGGATTAATCCATTCACGTGGGCAGAATTTAAATTAAATTTCAATATGAACTTGGAAGGGACCATTCAAACCACAGCAAGTACCCATATAACCATTCTGATTTTCACTTTCAGTACAATATTCAATAAATTACATGAGATATTCAATTTTTTTATAAAACAGGCTTTGTGTTAGGTGATTTTTTTTTTTCCCAGCTGTAGGCTAATAAAAGTATTCTGAGCATGTTTAAAGTAGGCTAGGCTAAGATAGAATGTTTGGTAGGTGTACTAAATCCATTTTTGATTTATGATATTTTCAACTTATGATTAGTTTACCAAGACATAACTCAATCATATAAGCCAAGGAGCATCTGTATTAGACCAGTTTAACAGATGAGGAAACAGAGGTATTCAAGTAAACTATCTACGATTACCTGGCAACTTAAGCAACAGGAACTGGCTCTTAAACCTCTGCCCTTAACCTCTAAGCAGTCCTCTATTTAGTACTGCATTACTGAAGATCCTGAGTGTAGCAGGAGCTGAGATCCTCAGAAAGTTATCTCCCCACTTCCAGGGTCAAATTGTTTATTGGTTGTGTATATGAGCACCAGTGTGAAACTGCCTGGGGTTCAAATTTTGGCTTCAACACTTATCAGCTAGGTGACCCTGTGCCCATCACTTAACTTTGCTGTATCTCAGTTCTTCTATCTACACAATGAAGATAATAGTACCTACTTCATAGGGTTGTTGTTAGGCTTAAATGAACAATTCTCTTAGATGAGAATTGCTTAGAACATTGCCTGGTATATTTTAAGTAGTGTGTTAGATGTATTTCCAGCTTAAGTTTAATGCCAACCTTAACCTAACTAAACCCTAGCCAGACAGCACATCTAAGTCAAGGCATATTTTATTTATACCTTTTGGTACACTTGACTTTTTTTTAATTGTATATGTATTCTTTTAATTCTGTAGCTCTGATTTAGCTGATTACTGGACGGTATTTCTCTTATGTTAATTCTATCCTTATGCTTTTGACTAAGGGGATATTTGATATTTACAAACTGGGAAAACAGCCAGCTCAATATTATTTTGGAACATGCTATATATTAAACTTGATGGATAAATGTCACCATACAAAAATAATTAATGCCCCCTAAAACGTTGACCTTTATGCTAGCATATGCTAGACATCTTAGAAGAGCATTGAAAATATCAAAATACACAAGATAGCCCATTTATCATCTCCTACCAGTTCCCTCAAAGCATATCTAAAAGTGTAAAGAAATAAAATCCTCTAATGAAATATTTGAATGATAAATATTCTTCTTCTTGTCTTCACTTTAATTTTTCTTCAACTGAACTCTTAGGCTGAATAAATTGATGAAAACATGGTTAAAGAAATCACTGCACATTTGGTTAGGTAAAGTTTTTTTTTATTGCAGTAAAAACATTTGACATCAGATCTACTAACAAATGTTTAAGTGTATAGTACAGTATTGTTACTATAAGCATGATGTACAACTGACCTCTAGAACTTATTTTATCTTGCATAACTGAAACTTTAGACCTGTTTAACAGTAACTCCCATTTCCTTCTTTCCCAGCCCCTGGCAACCACCTTTTAATTTTCTGATCCTATGAGTTTGACTACTTTTGATGCCTCACATAAGTGGAATTATACAGTATTTCTCCTTCTGTGACTAGCTTATTTCACTTAGCATGATGTTCTCCAGGTTCATTCACATTGTCACATATTGCAAGGTTTCCTTCTTTTTTAGGGCTGAATAATATTCCATTGTCTTTACATACACATTTTCTATATGCATGCATACATTAGTGGATATTTAGGTTGTTTCTACCTCTTGGCTATTGTGAATAATGCTGCAACGAGCATGGGAGTGCCAATGTCCCTTTAAGATCCTGATTTCAGTTCTTTCCTATAAATACTCAGACACAGATTGCTGGATCATGTTATAACTCTATTTTTATTTTTTTGAGGAAACTCCATACTGTTTTTCACAATAGCTGTACCACTTTAGATTCCTACCAACAGTGTACAAGGGTTCCAGTTTCTCCATATCCTTACTAACAATTCTTATCTTATGATTTTTTATGACAAGTCTAACAAGTATGAGGTGATATTGTGATTTTGGTTTGCATTTCTCTGATAATTAGTGATGTTGAGCATCTTTTCATATACCTATTGGTCATTTGTATGTCTTCATTAGAGAAATGTCTATTCAAGTCCTTTTGCCCATTTCTAACAAGATTATTTCTTTTGGTTTTGTTTTGGTTTTGCTATGGGATTGTAGCTCCTCATGTATTTTTTAAAATTTTTTCCCCACCCCTCCTTATGTATTTTAGATATGAACCTATTATCAGATATGTGGTTTGCAAATATTTCTCCCACTCCCTAGGTTGTGGTTTCACTCTGCTCATTGTTTTCTATGCTGTACAGAAGTTTTTACTTTGATATAGTCCCACTTGTTCATTTTTGCTTTTGTTGCCTGTGCCTTTAGTGTCATATCCAAGAAATCATTGTCAAGACCAATGTTCTGAAAATTTTTTCCTATGTTTTTGCCTATGAGTTTTACAGTTCCAGGTCTTATATTTCAGTCTCTAATTCATTTTGAGTTGTTTTTAGTGTATGGTGTGAGATAAGGGTCTAATTTCATTTTTTTGCATAGTTTTGCCAGCACCATTTGTTGAAGAGACTATCCTTTCTCCATTGCATATTCTTAGCACCCTTGTCAAAGATTAGTTCACTGCATATGCATGGGTTTATTTCAGGGCTTTCTATTTTGTTCCATTGGTCTATATGTCTATCTTTATTTCAGTATCATACTGTTTTAATGACTACAGCTTTGTAATTTTTTTTTTTATTTTCAAAGAAGGGGCCTTTGTAACATATTTTGAAATCAGGAAGTGTGATGTTTCAGTCTTGTTTTTATTTCTCAAGATTATTTTGGCTATTTCGGGACCTTTGTCGTTCCACACAAATTTTAGGTTTGTTTTTTCTGCTTCTGTAAAAATTGTCATTAGGATTTTAGTAGAGATTGCATTGAATATACAGGTAACTTTGGATGGTATGGACACTTTAATGATATGAATTCTTCCAATCCATGAGCATGAGAAGTATTTCCACTTGCTTGTGCCTTCTTTAATTTCTGTCATCAAAGTTTTATAGTTTTCAGTGTACAAGTCTTTCACTTGCTTAATTAAGTTTATTCCTAGGTATTTTATGCTTTTGGGTGCTATTATAAGTAGGATTGTTTCTTAATCTCCTTGTCAAAGGGTCCATTGTTAGACTTGTCAAATAGTCCATTGTTAGTGTGTACAAACACAACTAATTTTTTATGTTGATTTTGTATCCTGCAACTTTACTAAATTTGTTTATTAGTTCTAACAGTTTTCTTTAAAGTTTCCTGTATATATGATTATGCCATCTGCACACAGAGATCATTTTACTGCTTCTTTTCCAACTGGATGTTTTATTTCTTTTTCTTGCCTAAGTTCTCTGGTCAGGACTTCAAATACTAGGTTAAACAGAGATGGTGAGAGTGGGCATCTTTGCCTTGTTCACACTCTTAAAGCTGAAGCTTTAATTTTTCACCACTGAGTACTATGTTAGCTGTGGGATTTTTATATATTGCCTTTATTATGTTGAGGTAATTTCTTTCTATTCCTAGTTTGTTGAGAGTATTCATGAAAAAGTTCAAAGCATTTGACAAAATTCAACAACTTTTCATGTTTAGTTAAAATTTGAGCTTCAGAAAATACTCTTTACATTAAAGGTAAGTGCATTAACGCTTTTAGTCAGGAGTAGTTGAACTTTAAAAAAAAGAGTTTTGGCTGGGCACAGTGGCTCGCATTTGTAATCCTAACACTTTGGGAGGGAGGCCAAGGTGGGCAGATGGCTTGAGTCCAGGAGTTTGAGACCAGCCTGGGCAATATGGCGAAACCCCGTCTCTAAAGAAAATACAAAAATTAGCCAGGCATGGTGGCACACACCTGTAGTCCCAGCTGCTCAGGAGGCTGAGGTGGGAGGATTGCCTGAGCCCAGGGAGGTCAAGGCTGCAGAGAGCTGTAATCTCGCAACTGCTCTCCAGCCTGTGAGTGCCTGAGACCGTGTCTTAAAAAGAAAAAAGAAAGTTTTAAAGTTCATTTTCTACTAAAAATTATCTTTGCCAGCTCCTAAAGCTACCTGATATTTCCACTTAGTAAAAGAGCTCTCGTTGGGTGTGGTATGGCCAGATTCTTATTTCAAAATTCAGTCGTTCCTACTACTTTTACAGTTTGCCCATAACTATCTAGAGTAAAATGCTTTCAAGATTATGCCAACTAAGAAATGGCTGATGGACTTCCCAACTTTGTGACCAAAATATCATTTTCTCTTTCTCATTAACTGACTAATTTTTTGTGTGAAATTTTGCTGTGACCAATTTAAAATAAACTTAGGATAAAAGTAAGCTTCCAAGTTGGTTGAGTCTAACCCAATAAATAAATATCAGTTTAACCAAGACCACAGTCTTCCCTGTTAGAGTTAGAAGCACCGCAAGATAGAATGGTCATTAACTCCACAGCAACCTAGAACTGTTCAAGCTAAGGTTCCACAGTGAGGAGGTGGTCTCCAGGGCCAAGCCCTGCAGTACTTTGTAGATCTGTTACTCCTTAACATGTCATTCTACACTCTTTCACCAATCACCAAAATGACACTAATACAGACATTCCTCAACTTACAATGGTTTGACTTTACAGATTTTCTACTTAACAATAGGTTTATTGGGCCATTAAATACATTTTTTACTTATGATATTTTTAATTTATGGTGGGCTTATCAAGACATAACCCCATCAGAAGTCAAGGAACATCTGTAATTGTTTCATATGAAGCAAAATGATATGTGCAACCCCTGCTTACTTTAAACCCTAAAAAATCTACTCTTTTTTGTGTGGTGATCATAGTAGTTGACCCTCCAACATCCATTTACCTCACATGATTAGCGTAAGCCAATCAGTTAACCCACTCCCTCCTTGGTTTAGGAACAGGCACTTAACCTTATTTAGCCAAGGAGAGGTGAGTACATATCTGTGCTGGGAGATGGCAGGTAGAGCTTCTAGTAAAAAGTTATCTACTCCTAAGAAAGAGAATTGGATGAGAAGATTCTTCTTCATTTTCCAGATGTTGTTAAGTCATGACAACCCAAAGATGAAGCTAACAAAGTCAGGCAGAGATCAAAGAATCACAGAGAAGCACAGGCAGAGCCAAGGCACTGATACAATGCACCGGGAATCTACCCTGCCCCTGGACAGGTATGTATTATAAAGGTATCATATGAGATAATACATTTACCATTGTTTTAAGCACTTTGAATAAGGGTTTGCCATTACTTGAAGGTGAAATCATCCTTATTACAAACTCATCAGTCCCATAAATTGCTATGGCTTTTGTTTGCTTATACTCATTCCCTACCTCTTTCTCATTTCATACATGACTATCTTGTTGATGTTCAGCCAGGCTTAGCTAGTTTTCCAGCTATTGCTCTAGGTACACTGTATTCTGTTGTTTACAGTCACATATAAACCTTCAAGTTCATGATCTTTTGGCCTATCTTCACTTTCTGTTGTTCAAGTTAGAAGGACCTTAGCCAATTATTGTGAGTGGATGAGTACAGAGGAAAACAAAACAAAACAAAACGGAAAAATAAATCACTCAATAAGATGGAACATCTCAATCTGAAAAGGCCTAATTGGTTCCATAAAGTTTTTTTGTGTGACTTTTGACTTTAAATTGTTGACAGCAGTGACCTTTTACTGAGAACTTACAATGGGCAGAGTACTCGACACATTATTTCATTTAATACTCACCACACTAAAAGTCATTAGAGTATAATCCTCATTTACTAATAAGAAAAGTGAAGTTTGGACAGACAAAGTAATTTGCCCAGGTCACAGAGCTAAAAAGTTGCCAAGGCTACAGAATTACCCTCTGCAATACACAACTAGAAAACTAGACAAATATATAAAACAATTATCTTTAAGCATTAAGTAATAGGCAGCACAGGACTGTGATCCTTGAGAGAGGGAAAACAAATTAGGTGAGTCCATGACTGCCCTGGCTCTCTGCCTAGAGGCACGTTCTGGATTTCAGTATAGAGAGGCAGACACCAAACAGCTTGGCAATCTTGCTGAGTTGAGAAGACAGAGATTGAAGTTTTGACTTTGGAGGCTAATATTAATGGGGCATAGTAGTAGAGAGGAGGAAATTATTTTTTTAAAAAAAGAGAGTTCTGGAAATCTGCTAGGGCATCCCCTTGAGATTTTGGCTGAATGCCAGTCTACCCTCATGTAGGGAGAAATTCCATGAAGCCAAGCAAAGAATAAGTGTTAGGGAAAGAACAACTACCAGAGAGGTTAAGTCGAGCAATTCTCAGGGCTCACAAATGGTTCACATATGGCAAAAGTAGAGACTTTGTGAAATACAAATGTCTTCAGTAGACATCTGAGAAGGGTTACACATTAGTAGTGGGGCTAAAAATAGCCTGGTCTTAAATGCTACTCTATACCTACCCTAAGAAAATTTATAAATAAAGACTTCAAAGGCTCAAGTCAATCGTAAAGTAACTTAACTGCCTACCAGAACAAAATCCAACATCTTTTAAATGAATACATTAATATTCACCATGGAACAATATAAAATTCACAAGGTGAAGTATCCAATAAAACATTGACACATATATGAAAATGCAGGAAAATGTGACCCATAGCAGGAGAAAAATTAGTCAATAGAAAGAGACCCAGAAATGACACAAATGATGGGATTAGCAGATAATAACTTTAAAACAACTATTAAAAATATATTCAATATTCTAAAGAATTTAAAATATGAACCCAATGAGGAGAAGAAAAGGAAGACATAAAAAGGAAGCAAGGGAACTTCTAGAGCTGAAAAATATATTTTAAATGAAAAACTCAAAAGATAGAATTAACAGTGGATTAGATAATACAGAAAGAAAGAGCTTGAAGACAGGTACTATTGCAAATTAATCACTGAGAGAAAGACTGAGGCATCATTGACAATATCAAGCAGTCTAACACATGTAATTGGAGTTCCCGAAGGAGAGGAAGGGTTCGAAAAACATTTGAAGAATTAATGGCCAAATAGTTTCCAAGTTTGATGAACACCATATACCAGATCAAAGAGCTTTTAGCCAATGAAAGCAAGATAGACACAAATAAACCAAAATTATTGAAAACAAATGATGAAGAGGAAATCTTGGAAGCAGTTGGAGAAAAGGACACATTACTACAGAAGAAAACCATGGGTTTTCATAAGAAACTATGCCAACCAAAAGACAATGGAATGACATTTTTAAAGTTCTGAAAGAAACTCATCCTAAAATTTTATAGCCAGTAAAAATATCTTTTAATAAGAAAAGTAAATAAAGACATTCATACCACAAAATCTGAGGATCCATTACTAACACAAATGCACTGCAAGAAATGTTAACATTTTTTAGGCAGAAGGAAAATGATATCATATGGAAACTCGTTTCTACACAAAGGAATAAAGTGATTTAGAATGGTTAATATATGGATAAATACGGACTGTCATTTTGAGAGTCTTCAGAAATTTTTTCTTGGTAAAATCTCAAAGTGATGACAATAAAATTCAAATGACTGTTTTAGTTTAAAGGTTTGATGTGTCTGTATGGATGTCTAAAATAAAGATGCCCTTCTTTGTCTCATATTCTTTCAGGGCTGTTAGGTAAATATATTCATTTGGTCCTGACTATTTGCTGCTGTTGAACTGCTTTTCCTTGAAATTCCAAAAAGAAGTTGATTGGCCCACACCCTAAAGGACAGGACCAGAATTGAAATTTAGGTTTGTTTGGAGCTAAAGACATTTTGATCAGAAAAATGACAGAATATATAATTTCCCAGAGAAAATTCTGATGAAATAATTATCTACTATGCTTCTGGTAAAGTCTTTTTCATGCAATTAAAATCTCTTTGAAATAATTTTTTTTAACAAGAGGATTCCAAGAATTTTGTTTGCTTCCTTATTTATTTAGGCCCTATCTAGTGCCAAAAAAGGAGGTATGTTTTAGAAGTAAGTTTTAAGGAAAAACTGATGATGATGATATAAGTTTATAATTCCTATCTATAATGACAAAACTCAAAGAGCTTTAAAAAACCAAAGTGTTTTTCTGTTTATTTATTTATTTATTTAGAGACAGAATCTCACTCTGTCTCCCAGGCTGGAGTGCCATGGCATGCTCTCAGCTCACTGCAACCTCCACCTCCTGGGTTCAAGCGATTCTCATGCCTCAGCTACCCAAGTAGCTGGGATTACAGACGTATGCCACCAAGCTTGGCTAGTTTTTGTATTTTTAGTGGAAACGGGGTTTCACCGTGTTGGCCAGACTGGTCTTGAACGCCTGACCTCAAGTGATCCACCTGCCTCGGCCTCCCAAAGTGCTGGGATTACAGGCATGAGCCACCACACCCGGCCAAAAGCCCTAAGTTTTCAAATAATGTATTCAGTGGTAAAATCTGACCTGAATTAACATGAGACTATTTGTTATATAGTATATACTATACTTTGTGTGAATATTCATGTGTTTCAATGCAGAAATTTCAATGTGTTTGATTTTGGGGTGCTAGAGATACTATGCATACTGTTCCAAAATCCAAAAAATTCTGAATCCCAAAAATACATCTGACTCCAAAGGTTTAAGAGAAGGGTTTGGGGACCTACAATATAATTAATATTTACTGAGAACTTACAATGTTCCAGGAGCTATTCTAAGTACTTTATATTTGTTAACTTGTTCAATTTAATAAGCACAACTGTGGTGTTTCTAAAAGATGCAATCCAAGAGAGCTTGAAAAATAATAAAAGGAAACAAATATTTAGTGTACATCCAGCTGTTGACTAATTTTGATCTCTCGTCCCATGTTACCTGGCAGAACCCAAATCTCAGGGGTCCACCTTCAGAAAAGATGTGCTTCAAGTGTCCCTGTTGCAGGTGGGGAAAAGTTTCAAAATCGTTAATCTTCCTTGTGAGGAGGGTTATGCATATATATTCATTAACTGATCCTTAGAGCAGAAAGAAAATAATTCTTTTTATGCTACGTCTTATTTTTCTTGATACTACCAAGTTGTGAAAAATAACTGTGAAAGGAAAAAAATGAAGTAAAAGAGAATGAACATCTAAATTACATTTCTATTTATAATGAAGTCATTAGACAAATTATAGTTCTGACCACTTATTTCTTGAACAGCAAATATATACTGGGATTACAAAAAACACTTATAGAAAATAAAACTTATCTGAGGAGAGGATTTTACTTTTCCACAGAGTGAGGGATAAATAATGTAATGGTTTCTAAGGATGAATGACTAAGGAAAGAAACTAAATTTAATACTTTAATCCCTTTCTTTAGTTATCTACTTCCTGATGCACAGAACTAAATCAAATCAATGGGAAATTGATTTTCATGCTAGGCATGAATAGTAAAATATCACTAGTTAACTTAATATCCCATAATACTTACTATGCCCCCATTATGTAGAAAATGAAAACTAAACAGACCTCAATTAGATGACTTTCATTATATTACACTGATTACAAGCTTACCAGCTTGACTTCTACAAACCACATATGTCCTCTAATTTCAAGAACTATGCAAGCAAGGACAAATTGAAAAGCAACAAAAAGAACTTTCAATCACTCCCCTGGCTCTCCAACACAATATAAAAGATAAGGTAATTTATCATAATTGAGTGAAGAGGAAGTACTGCCCTTATTCATCTGGTTCTTTAGAATTAAGAAATGTTTAAGGTAGAATGCATTTTTATCATCCAATCCTTAACAGTGGTTGATAGAAATGAAGCATCTTTTGTCTGGAGACATCAGACTAATTTAGTCACAAGGATTATAATGAGAGACATAGACTTCTCACTTCATTCATCTAGGGACAATCCTAAATAAAATTACTGACTACTGACCCTATGCCTTCCAATTATTCACTAATTTGGCTCACTGAGTGTAAACTTTTATTTTCAGTTTCAATGGCAAATAAGTATCAGAATCAAACATTTCTGTCTGCCTTCAAAGAGCAAAGAGCTTTTAGTCTAATGTGGAAGATATGGATATTGTGTTGTTAAATTCAATTCTGGAAACTCATTAGAAATATTTGGAAAGCAATGTTGGACCTATGTCATGTTGTATTCCTCTGAAGCAGACTTTGAGATGAGGATTTGTGTGCAAGGAAGTGTTTCCATAAGAAGCTGATAAGGAAGAGGGGGAAACATAACAAAGAAAAACAATGGGCCAGGTACAGTGGCTCACGCCTGTAATCCCAGCACTTTGGGAGGCCAAGGTGGGCGGATCACCTGAGGTCAGGAGTTCAAGACCAGCCTGGCCAACGTGGCAAAACCCCATCTCTACTAAAAATACAAAAATTAGCCGGGCATAGTGGCAGGCACCTGTAGTCCCAGCTACTTGGGAGGCTGAGGTAGGAGAATCACTTGAACCCGGGAGGCAGAGGTTGCATGAGCTGAGATGCACCATCGCACTTCGGCCTGGGCAACAAGAGTGAAACTCCATCTCAAAAAAAAAAAAAAAAAAAAAAAGAGAAAGAAAGAAAGAAAAAGAAAAACAATGAAACCAAGGATGCTATGGTTTTAGCAAATTCCTAGGTGGGTAGTTTCAGTCTGATTCCATAGGAGATTCTGAAGTATAAGTTACAGCCTCAAAGTCGTTGCGTCCTAAGGCAAGGAAGGTAGACTTTCATCTCCCAAAGTGATTACTCATTGGGTAAGCATCATTGCAGGGGATCAAAAACTCCCAGACTCTTCTAGTTTTCTGTGTCTATGAGTAAAGCTGTTCCAGTGGCCTAAGGACAGTCCTTTGAAGAAGAGTGACAGGTTAGAAGCTGTTAAAAGTAAAATCACATTAAAGACAGTGGAGGGGTATAAAGAAGAAGTAAAAGGGGAGGGAGGGAAACTAAATGAGCAATGGCAGTATCTACTGTCAAGAAATATGGGGGAGTGACATCAGCAAGATGGCAGAATAGGACTTTACAGCACTTATTCTGTTAGAGAAACATCACAAACAACTATCCATGCCCAAAAATACCTTTAACAAACTAAAGGATTCAAGTGAAAAATTGCAACGCCTTGGTGTAGCACAGAAATAAGAAAAGATGCACTGCCTTTTCCCGTGCCTGGGCAGCATAGCGTGCAGAAAGAAACTCTTCCAGTGGAGAAAAAAAGTGAAGTGAGCATCTGATTTTGCTGTGGATTCTGGCTCCAGACACACTACTGTGGCTGCAGGTACCAGACCAGCACACACAGACCTAAGCTGGCCACCCTCCTAAGACACAGGCTCTAGACATGACCAGAGTCAGGTCAGCCCCTGCAAACACAGGCTCCAGGCTGGCTGCTGGCCTCCAAGGTCCCAATTCCCAGCAGATTTAGCCTCCAGGCCGACTCCTGTGCCAGGTTGGAACCCAAGAACCCCAGCTCCAGGTCAGCCGCCATGACTCCAGTCACCAAACCAGCACACATGTACCTATGTTCCAGGCCAGCTCCTGCAAATACAGGCTCTATCCCCACCCAGTAACCAGCAGCCACTGCAGCCCCACACTCCAGCAGACATATGGTTCATATCTATCCCAGTAGACCCAGGTTCTAGGCTGGCCCTTGTGGCCCCAGAACACTGGTCTGCCCCTGCAAACCCAACCTCTAGGCCTGTTTTAGTGCCAGGCAGTCACCTGTGGTCAGTAAACTACAAGAGAACACAGGTATACAAAAAAAAAAAAAAAAAAAAATCAGAGACTGGGAGCAGTGGCTCACGCCTGTAATCCCAGCACTTTGGGAGAATGAGGCGGGTGGATCACCTGAGGTCAGGAGTTTGAGACCAGCCTGGCCAACATGGTGAAACCCCATCTCTACTAAAAGTACAAAAAACTAGCTGGGTGTGGTGGTGGGCGCTTGTAATCTCAGCTACCCAGGAGGCTGAGGCAGGAGAATTGCTTGAACCTGGTAGGTGGAGGTTGCAAAGAACCAAGGTCGTGCCATTGCACCCCAGCCTGGGTAAAAAGAGTGAAACTCCATTTAAAAAAAAAATCAGGGGCGGGAAGCCCGGGGCAGGCCGGACAATGAGAGTGTCCGCTGCCTGAGCCAATAAAGCTGTACTGGTTTTGAATCGCCATGCGTTTCCTGCTGCTGGGGTCAGGGGTCGAGGTTCAGGTCGCGGGGCGGAGGGAAGAGCGGGCGGGAAGGAGCTACGTAGCCGCCGAGAGGCCGCGGAGCCAGCGATAACAGACCCAGGTGAGCGGCCACCGCTGCGCCCCCATGGCGGCCGCCAAGGACACTCGTGAGGACCATGATACTTCCACTGAGAATACAGACGAGTACAACCATGACTCTCAGTTTGTCTTCCTGAGCAAGAAATTAAAACGCTGAAAGATGATGAAGAGGAACTTTTTAAAATGCAGGCAAAACTGTTCTGATTTGCCTCAGAGAACGATCTCCCAGAATGGAAGGAGCGAGGCACTGGTGACGTCAAGCTCCTGAAGCACAAGGAGAAAGGGGCCATCCGCCTCCTCATGCAGAGGGACAAGACCCTGAATATCTGTGCCAACCACTACATCATGCGGATGATGGAGCTGAAGCCCAAGCAGGTAGTGACCGTGCCTGGGTCTGGAACACCCATGCTGACTTCGCCGACCAGTACCCAAGCCGGAGCTGCTGGCCATCTGCTTCCTGAATGCTGAGAATGCACAGAAATTCAAAACAAAGTTTGAAGAATGCAGAAAAGAGATCGAAGAGAGAGAAAAGAAAGCAGGATCAGGCAAAAACGATCATGCCAAAAAAGTGGCAAAAAAGCTAGAAGCTCTCTCGGTGAAGGAGGAGACCAAGGAGGATGCTGAGGAGAAGCAATAAATCGTCTTATTTTATTTCCTTTTCCTCTCTTTCCTTTCTTTTTTTTAAAAAAAATTTTACCCTGCCCCTCTTTTTCGGTTTATTCTTTCATTTTTACAAGGGACGTTATATAAAGAACTGAATTCAACATTCAGGTTGTTTTTTTTTGTTTGTTTCTTAAGTTTTTGCCATATTGAAGATGACTTCAGAAAACCCATTCCCCAGTCATGAAAATGTACTGTGCCAACTTTCTTTTCCATAGTGGAAACACTTATTTATAGTCATCAAAAATAGTGAATAAAAAACACATTTGGAACCTGGAAAAAAATATAAAAAAATCAGAAAAACAATATACAAACAAAATGAAAAGCTCAACAAGGAGTTCAAGCATAGAAATTATTTTTAAAAGAACCGAACATAAATTCCAAAGCTAAAGAACCAGTGACCAAACTGAAAAATACCTTAGAAAGCTTTAACAGCAGGCTCTATCAGGCAGAAGTACCAGTGAGCTTGAACATAGGCCATTTGAAGTAACCCAGAAAAACAAAAAGAAATGAAAAGAATAAAGAAAGCCTACAGGACGTATGGGACACAATCAAGTGAACCAATATATGTATTGTGAAAGTCACAAAAGAGCAGAGGAAGAGTAAGGGGTAGAAGGCTCATTTAAAGAAATAATGGCAGAAAAATCTCCAGATCTGGAGAGGGAAGTGAATATCTACATCCATGAAGCACAAAGAACCCTAAGTAAATTAAATTTGTATTTAGTTATAGAGATCTTCACTGAGACACATTATAATCAAATTGTCAAAAGTCAAAGACAAAGAATTTTTAAAGCAAAAAGACAAAAGCAACTCATTACATACAAAGGAACCCATATATGGCTATCAGGGGATTTCTAAGCAGAAGCCTTCCAGGTCAAAAGAGGGTGGAATGATATGCTTAAAGTACTGAAAGAAGAAAAACCTATCAACCAAAAATACCATAATCAGCAAAGCTATTCTTCAGAAATGAAGGAGAGGTAAGGACTTTTCCAGACAAAGCCTGTGGGAGTTTATCACCATTCCACCTGCCTTACAAAAAATGCTAAAGGGTGTAGTTCAAATTAAAGTGAAACAATGTTAACTAACAACATGGAAATATAGGAAAGTATGAAACTCACTCTAAAAGTAAGAATATAGTCAAATCTAGAATAATAATGTGATGCATAAAATCACTTTTAACTCTAGTATAGTACAAAAATAAAAAGACAAAGGTATTAAAAATAACTACAGCTACAATAATTTGTTAATGGATACATGATGCACAAAATTGTAAACTGCAGGGTTGGGCATGGTGGCTCATGCCAGGAATGCCAGCACTTTGGGAGGCCAAGGTGGGCAGATCACTTGAGGTCAGGAGTTCAAGACCAGCCTGGCCAATACAGCAAAAACCCATCTCTACTAAAAATACAAAAATTAGCTGGGCATGGTGGTGCATGCCTGTAATCCCAGCTACTCAGGAGGCTGAGGCAGGAAAATCACTTGAACTGAGGAGGCAGAGGTTGCAGTGAGCCAAGATCACACCACTGCTCAGCCTGGGTGACAGAGAGAGACTCCATCTCTAAAACAAAATAAATTGCTACATCAATAACATAAAATGTTTGGAGAGGAGAAGTTAAAATGTGGAGATTTGTATGTGGTCAAGGTTAAATAATTATTAGCTTAAAATGGAGTGCTATAATTTTAAGATGTTTTATGTAAGCTTCATGGTAACCATAAAGGAAAAATCTGTAGTAGATAGGCAAAAGAGAAAGAAAAAGGAATCAAAGCATACCGCTACGAAAAGTATCAAGTCACAAGGAAAGACAGGAAGAAAGAATGAATGGAACAAAAGAACTATAAAAGAGTCACAATATAATTAACAAATAGCAGTAGTAACTGCTTAGCTATCAATAATTACTTTAAATGTAAATGGATCAAATTCCCCAATCAAAAGACAAAGTGGCCAAATCTATTTAAAAAAACAACATCCAATTACACACTGTGCACCTGAGACTAGCTTTCAGGGTGCACATAGGTTAAAAATAAAGGAATGGTAAAAGATATTTCAAGCAAATGGTAAGCAAAACAGAGCAGGCTATACTTACAGCAGATAAAACAGACTTTAAGTAAAAAACTGCCATAAGAGACAAAGTATTATGTTACATAATGATTAAGGAGTCAATTCATCAAGAATACATAGCAATTGTAAATATATATGTACCCAACATCAGAACATCTAAAGATACAAATTAAATATTAACAGAAATGAAGATAGATATAGATGGTCATATGATAATAGTAGGGGTCTTCAATACCCCACTTTCAACAATACAAAGATTATCCAGATAGAAAATCAATAAGGTAACAGCAGACTTGAATAACACTATAGACAAAATAGACCCAACAAACATATATAGGACAATTGACCTAACAGCAGCAGTATATACATTGTTTTCAAACACACATAGAATTCTCTGTAAGAAATCAGGTGTTAGGCCACAAAACAAGGATTAACAAATTTAAGAAGATTGAAATTATATCAAGTGTCTCTTCTAACCAAAATGGTATAAAACTAGAATTCAGTAGTATAAAGAAAATAGAAAAATTCAAAAATATATGGAAATTAAACAACACACTCCTGAAAACCAATAGATAAAAGAAGAAATCAAGAGGGAACTCAAAAAGTATTTTAAGACAAACAAAAATGAAAACACAGCATACTAAAACTTATAGGATGCAGCAAGAGCAGTTCTAAGAGGAAATTTTACAGTGATAAATGCCTACATTAAGAAAAAAAGATCTCATATAAAAAATATAACTTTACACCTCAAGAAACTAGAGAAAATACTAAGCCCCAAGTCAGCAGATAGAAGAAAATAAAAAAGATAAAGGCAGAAATAAACAAAATAAAGAGAAAAACAATACAAAAGATCACTGAAACTAAGTTATTTTTTGAAAAGATAAGTATTGACAAATGTCTAGCTAGACTAATTAAGAAAAGAAGACTCAAATAAATAAAGTTATAAATGAAAGAGGAGACATTTCAACTGATACCGTAGAAATATATGAGACTCCTATGAACAATTACACACCAAAACAATTGAATAACCTGGAAGAAATGGATAAATTCTGAAAACATTCAACCTACCAAGACTGAATCATGAAGACATAGAAAATCTGAACAGACCAATAGCAAAAACGAGATTAAGTCAGTAATTAAAACTCTCCTTAAAAAGATAAGTCAAGGGGCCGAGTGCAGTGGCTCACGCCTGTAATCCCAGCACTTTGGGAGGCTGAGGCAGGCGGATCACCTAAGGTCAAGAGTTCGAGACCAGCCAGACCAACAAGGCGAAACCCTGTCTCTACTAAAAATACAAAATTAGCCAGGTGTGGTGGTGTACACCTGTAATCCCAGCTACTCTGGAGGCTGAGGCAGGAGAATCGCTTAAACCTGGGAGGCAGAGGTTGCAGTGAGCCGAGATTGCGCCATTGCGCTCCAGCCTGGGCAACAAGAGTGAAACTCCATCTCAGAAAAACAACAAAAAAAGAGGTAAGTCAAGGACTGAATGGCTTCACAGATGAATTGTATCAAACATTTAATGAAAAATTAGTACCAATTCTTTTTAAATTCTTCCAAAAAATTGAAGGCAAGGATATACTGCCAAACTCATTTTACAAGGTCAGCATTATCCTGATACCAAAGCCAGACAAGGATACCATGAGAAAAGATAATTACAGGCCAATATCCCTGAAGAGCATAGATGCAAAAATTTCAAACAAATACAAGCAAACTGAATTCAACATCAAATTAAAAGGATCATTCACCATGATCATGTGGTATTTATTCCTCAGATGCAAGGATGGTTTAACATATGCAAATCAATAAATGTAAAACCACATATTAACAAAATGAAGAATATAATTACATGAGCATCTCAATAAATGCAGAAAAAGCATTTGACAAAATTCAACATCCTTATATGATAAAAACTCTCAACAAATTAGGTATAGAAGGAATGTCCTTCAACATACTAAAGGATATATAACAAACCCACAGCTCATGTCATTCTCACCAGTGAAAAACTAAAAGACAAAGGTGCTCATCTCATCAATTCTATTCAACATAGTACTGGAAGTCCAAGCCAGAGTAAGAAAAAGAAATAGAAGGCATCTAAATTGGAGAAGAAAAGTAAAATTACCTCTGTTTGCTAATGACATAATCTTATATACAGAAAGCCATAAATACTCCACCAAAAAACTGTTAGAACTAATCAATGAATTCAGTAAACTTGCAGGATACAAAATCAACATACAAAAATTAGTTATGTTTATGTTCACTAACAATAACAATGTAACTAATTCTGTTTGATGCTGTGGTAATTAAGAAAACAATCCTATTTACAACAGCATCAAACAGAATAAAAAGGAGCAATTTTAACAAAAGAGTTGAAATACCTATACACTGAAAACTGTAAAATATTGATGAAAAAAATTAAAGAAAACACAAATAAATGGAAAGATATCCATGTTCATGGATTGGAAGAATACTGTTAAAATGTTCATACAATAATGTTCTTTAAAATGCCCCCAAACTGATCTACAGATTCAATGCAATTCTTACTAAAATGTCAGTGGCATTTTTCACAGAATAGAAAAACAATCCTAAAATTCATATGGCACCCCTAAGGACTCCAAATAGCTGAAGCAATCTTCAGCAAAAAGAGCAAAGCTGGAAGCATCACACTTCTTGATTTCAAGTTGTATTACAAAGCTATAGTAATTGAAACAGTATGATACTGGCATAGAAACAGACACATAGACCAATGGAACAAAATAGAGATCCCAGTAATAAACCCACACACATATTGTCAACTAATTTTTGACAAAGGCTCCAAGAATAAACAATGGGGAAAGCCCAGTCTCTTCAACTAATGGTGTTGGGAAAACTGAATATCCACAAGCAAAAGAATGAAATTGGACCCTTATCTTACACCATGTGCAAAAATTAATTCAAGATGGATTAAAGACTTAAGTGTAAGACCTGACACTGTAAAACTCCTAGAAGAAACATAGGGGAAAAGCTTTATGACATTGGTCTTTGCAATGATTTTTTTGGATTTGACATCAAAGTACAGGAAACAAAACAAAAATTTAAAAGTCAGACTACATCAAACTTAAAAGTTTCTGCACAGCAAAGAAAACATTCAACAAAATGAAAAGACAGCACACAGAATGGGATAAAATATTTGCAAGCACATATCTATTAAGGAGTTAAGGTCCAAAATACATAAAAGTATATAAAATATAATATCATCATATATTTCAAAATATACAAGGAATTCCTACAGTTCAATAGAAAAAAAAAAGAAACCAAATAACTTGATTAAAAATAGGTAAAGAATCTTAAGAAACATTTTTCCAAAGAAGACATACAAATGTCCAACAAGTATACAAACATCAATAATTATCAAGGAAATGCAAATCAAAACCACAATGAGATATTGCCTCACGCTAGTTAGGATGGTTGTTATCAAAAAAAGTCAAAAGAAAACAAGTATTGGTTAGGATGTTAAGAAAAAAGCAAACCCTTATAAAACATTGGTGGGAATATAAATTGGAAGAGCCATTATGGGAAGTGTATGGTAGTTTCTTAATAAATTAAAAATAGAACTAATGTTTGACCCAGAAATCCCACTTCTTGGTATATATCCAAAAGAAATAAAATTGCTATCACAAAGAGATATTAGCATTCCCATGTTCATTGCAGCATTATTCGCAGTAGCCAAGATATGGAAACAACCTAATTGTCCATTGAGAGATGAATGGAAAGAAAAGGATATATATATGAATATTATATATATAATGAAATATTATTCAGCCTTAAAATGAAAGAAATCTTGTCATTTGTGACATAGTTGAACTTGAAGGACATTATGCTAAATGAAACAAGCCATACACAGAATGGAAGGTAAAGTCAATTTCATAGTAACAGAGCATTGAATGGAGGTTACTAGGGGCTTGAGGCAGGAGAGTAGGGTGAAGGAAGATGTTGATGGATAGAACTTTCAGTTATAGGATGAGTAGTTTCTGCCGACTTAATGTATAGCATGATAACTACAGCTAACAATAATTTATTGTATACTTGAAATTAGTCAAAACAGTAGATCTCAAGTGTTCTCACTAGAAAAAAGAAATGATAACTAGGTGAGGTGATGGATATGTTAGTTAGGTTGATTGTGGTAAACATTTTCTAATATATCCTATATCAAAACATCATGTCATACACCTCAAAGATATATAATTTTCATCTTTAATTATACCTCAATGAAGCTAGGAAAAATGACATTTTAGGTTATGGTGTTTATATTATCTTTTAAAATTCTTTTTAAAATTTTATTTTCATTAAGAAATTCTTTATATAATATTATTTCCAATATTTTTCTTACATTAAACAAACTGATTCCAAATTGACTTCAGTTAGATTTGCTTCCATAAATAGTTCCAAGCAGTATGTTTCCAATTACATTTTACTTCATTCTAAGAAATTTGCCTATAAACTCACATTGTTTTTATTAAAATTATATATATACCTAATAGAATTGTAAAAACCAAAAAAGCCTAAGGAACAAAAAAATCAAAATTCCATTCCCTGTAAATAATCATAAAAAAAAATTCAGTGAATGTCTTTCTAAAGAGAAGAATATAATTTTACATAAATGGAACCATACTTAGACATTTTTCACTTGTTTTTTTGACTCAACAGTATGTCACAAATATCACTTAATGTCAATAAATGTTGAGCTACATCAAGTTTAATGACTTGAGAATTTTATTATTTGTATGTGCAGTAATTTACTTAATCATTCCCCTACTGGTGAATATTTGGGATGTTTCCAAGTTTTCTATATTAAAAACAGATTTATAAGAAACATTCATGTGCTTATGTCTTTTCACTCTTGTATGATCATCCCCATAGGGAAAATGCATAGAAGTGGGGATATTGGTCCAAACGGTCTGATATTTCACAAGTTGCTAAACTGTTCCAGAATAGAATAGATTGACAACCACGTTTCTCTCATTTAATGTATCACCCTAAGTGTGACTCATTAAGAAAACAACTTCATTCCTTGAAGAATCTAGAAACATTTTTCTTTATTTTCTCTGATACATTTCTCATTAAAATAGAAGTCTTCCAGACCTTAAATAAATAATCCCCACAAAATTTGTTCTCAACAAATTTAAATTCTATGATATAATAGTTATAAGATGATGTATTCAAGTTTTAAGAAAAATAAAAATCCACTGCTTTCCCCACTAGCATTTAAAACTCTTGTGGGCCGGGCGCAGTGGCTCACACCTATAATCCCAGCACTTTGGGAGTCCTAGGCAGGTGGATAACCTGAGGTCAGGAGTTCGAGACCAGCCTGACCAACGTGGTCAAACCTCATCTCTACTAAAAATACAAAATTAGCTGGGCATGGTGGCACATGCCTGTAATCCCAGCTACTTGGGATGCTGAGGCAAGAAAATCACTTGAACCTGGGAGGCGGAAGTTACAGTGAGCCGAGATCATGACATTGCACTCCAGCCTGGGTGACAGAATGAGACTCTGTCTCAAAAAAAAAAAAAAGAAAAGAAAAGAAAAAGAAAATAATTGTTGCATAGGAAAGATTTAAAATGTATACACTCAGAGAATATTGATTTTCTTGTTATTAATAGAAACTGAAAAATAGATGTAAAATATAGTAACATTAATTTTAGAAAAATGTACAAATCATTATGTATTATTATTTAGAACAAAGCTATTTTATTAAAGCAAAAAAGAGAAGTAATTACATTTTTTTGTGGCAAAATTGAAAGTGACTGTCATCCCATCTAAGTTTAATTGAGATAGGAGGTTTGTTATGTTTAAACAAATACTTTGTTTGTTATGTTAAAACTTATAATTTGCACAGGTTAGAAAGCCTAGACCCAGAGGATTTGGAATTAGAAAGACTGTATCTGTGGAAGGGGCAAATAAGGATCTCCCTGTAGATAACAAAGACAGATCTTGTCTTCCACCTATAAAACTGATTTAGGGGTAAAACCAATGATTATTTCTCACCCCTGGCTATCTTTCAGTGTCAGCCAACTCTGGTATCTGGTATGTCTGGGGATCTGTATTCTCTACAGAAACTGGTTACAATCAGTGCTGATGACGTTTGCAATGTCTCCATTCCTTTTGAAATGAAAGCCAAGAGTGAACGTATGGACTAATGACCATTCAAGGTTCATAGGAAAATGGCTGGTTTGAACGGAAGATTCTGTGAGCATGCATCAAAGCCCTTAAGTTATTTTGCTTTGCTATGAAAAATTAATAAGAACCTTTCCTTTCTTTTCCTGTATATGCTAGCTTATGCTACATTTTTACTCTTTATTTTCCTGTTTACACTAAATCTCTATTATTATCCATTAACATCATTTCAACATATATTTATTGAATACCTAATATTGACCAGGAATTGTTCTAGCACTGAGGATATAGCAATGAATATAACAAATTTCCTTTCCCAAAGAAGCTTAAATTCTAACTGGGGAGACAGACAATAATCAGTTAAGCAAGTAAATAAATATTAGATGGTGATGTCAATTTACCATGGAAAAATAAAGTAGATATGAGAGATAAAGAATAATAAAGAGGGGTGCCAGGGAGTGCTACATCAGATATTGTGGTCCAGGAGAACATTTCAGAAGTGATGATATTTGAGCAGAGGCAGAGAAAATGAAGGGTTAGACATGCAAATATATGAAGGGAGAGAGTGACATTCCAGGCAAAGTGAACAGGAGGTAAGATGAGAAGGGATAGGAGAGTTTTTAAAGAATTATTTTGATGGCTATGTAGAGGACCCACTTACTGACATGAAAATTGAGGAAGATAGTTGAATAAGCAGAATTGAAAAAATAAATCAAGAGTGTAATGTCAGATATGTTGAGTTTGAAATGATATTCAGATATCTATGGAGATGGCAAGCAGGCAGTTGGGTGTACACATATGGATTCCTGAAGAGGCATCTAAAGAAGTCTATCATAAAGTCTCAGGGTTAAATGAATCATTTAAATGTCACCTATCTCAATCTTTATTTAGATACTTGACTCTCCTGAGCAGTATTCTTGGTCCATTGATTACTCAGCCTAACTCAAACTCTTTCTTTCAGTGAGGGGTAATTCATTACCACCACCACCCTGAAGCACTCCACTCTATATGCCAAGATAATTTTCACCAGGGAAATTTTTTTAAATAATAATGATCAGCCTCCAAGTAAATTTCACCCACCAGTCACAGCTCTATCCCTTGGATCATCCCTACAAAAGGTACCAATGCAACTAGCATCTATCCAAAGATACAGAAAGGAATTTCAACTCCTTATGAGAAAGACCTATTCAACTAATAGAGCTATCCTAAATTAGACTGGCCATGTCATGAGGAGATGAAGTTACAGAGCACAGTAATTTATAGAATGGTTGGATATCGATTCTGAAAATTCACACATCAACTAGATTTCTAAGGTCCTTTCTAAGGTTAATGTTCTAACACTGATGAAGTAAAAGCTCTGTTTACAGTATGTTAAGTAAATATATCATAACCTAATATTGGTTTGAGGGGATGGATCACTTTATATGAAAATGTTGTGTGCCTACTCTATGAACCTCAATTCTATGTGTTGACTCCTATTTTATCATAGACATATTTTCAAGTCAAAAATGATGTCAGCACTCTGGTCCTCTCCAGACACATAATATCTCAGAAATCTGTGTTCAAAACAATAAACACTCAGAGGGAGGATAGATTCTCCTCTTGGCTCCTATTTCAAAGTGGTTATTCCTTCAGAAAACTGGGGGAATGATTCTATCTCCCACTGGAGCAACTGAAGGCTTTAAAGGGTTAACCTAAAGCAAAAGTAAATGCTACTACAGTTCAAAATAGACAAACATTAAAAATTATGTAAGTTAGATACTCCATATTTGCATTGACCTATTTCACCTTTATATCTCAGTTTGAACTTCAAGAGCTTCATACAGATCCCGAGAGGACCCACAGACCCACTGAAGGAAGCAGACTTCTCCTTTAGGACCCAGGAGACTCCCCGAATACTGTGCTGGTATCCATGGCTGAGAGACCCATAGATGGTTCACATCACAGGAGTCTGTGCAGAAAACCCCCAGTACCAGCTAGGAGCTCGGTAGAGTTGCTATGTGACTAGACCCAGAAAAGAGATAGCAATCACTACAGCTCAGCTCACAGGAAGTCATATCCATAGGAAAAGGGGGAGAGTACTACATCAAGGGAACACCCTGTGGGACAAAAGAATGTGAACAACAGCCTTCAGCTCTAGACCTTCCCTCTGACAGAGGCTACCCAAATGAGAGGGAACCAGAAAACCAATTCTGATAATATGACAAAACAAGGTTCCTTACCAGCCCCCCAAAATCATACTAGTTCACCAGCAATGGATCCAAAACAAAAAGAAATCCCTGATTTACCTGAAAACGAATTCAGGAGGTTAGTTATTAAACTAATCAGGGAGGCACCAGAAAAAGGCAAAGCCCAATGCAAGGAAATCCAAAAAATGATACCAGACGTGAAGGGGGAAATAGATAGCATAAAGAAAAAACAATCAAAACTTCAAGAAACAATGGACACATACATAGAAATGCAAAATGCTCTGGAAAATCTCAGCAATACAATTGAACAAGTAGAAGAAAAATTTCAGAGCTCAAAGACAAGGTCTTTGAATTAACCCAGTCCAACAAAGACAAAGAAAAAAGAATAAGGAAATATGAACAAAGCCTCCAAGAAGTCTGGGATTATGTTAAACGACCAAACCTAAGATTAATCGGTGTACCTGAGGAAGAAGAGAAACCTAAAAGTTTGGAAAATATATCTGGGGGAGTAACTGAAGAAAACTTCCCAGCTTTGCTAGAGACCTAGACATCCAAATACAAGAAACACAAAGAAGACCTAGGAAATTAATCACAAAAAGATCATCGCCTAGGCACATTGTCGTAAGGTTGTCTAAAGTTAAAATGAAAGAAAGAATCTTAAGAGCTGTGAGACAAAAGCACCAGGTAATGTATAAAGGACAACCTATTAGATTAACAGCAGATTTCCCGGCAGAAACCCTACAAACTAGAAGGGATTGGGGCCCTATCTTTAGCCTCCTCAAATAGAACAATTATCAGTCAAGAATTTTGTATACAGCAAAACTAAGCATTATATATGAAGGAAATATACAGTTGTTTTCAGACAAACAAATGATGAGAGAATTCACCACTACCCAGCCACCACTACAAGAACTGCTAAAAGGAGCTCTAAATCTTGAAACAAACCCTGGAAACACATCAAAACAGAACCTCTTTAAAGCATAAATCACACAGGATATATAAAACAAAATACAACTTAAAAAGCAAAAACAAAAAAACCAAGGTACACAGGCAACAAATAGCATGATGAATGCAATGGTAGCTCACATCTCAATACTAACATTTAATGTAAATGGCCTAAGTGCTCCACTTAAAAGATACGGAACTACAGAATGAATAAGAACTAACCAACAGACTATCTGCTGCTTTCAGGACACTCACCTAACAAATAAGGATTCACATAAACTTAAAGTAAAGGGGTGGAAAAAGGCATTTCATGCAAATGGACACCAAAAGCAAGCAGGGGTAGCTGTTCCTGTATCAGACAAAACAAACTTTAAAGCAACATCAGTTAAAAGAGACAAAGATAGACGGACATTATGTATTGGTAAAAGGTCTTGTCCAACAGGAAAATATCACAATCCTAAACATATATGCACCTAATACTGGAGCTCCCAAATTTATAAAACAATTACTAATAGACCTAAGAAATGAGATAGACAGCAACACAATAATAGTAGGAGACTTCAATACTCCACTGACAGCACTAGACAGGTCATCAAGACAGAAAGTCAACAAAGAAACAATGGATTTAAACTATACCTTGGAACAAATGGACTTAACAGACAAGTATGGAACATTTCATCAAACAACTGCAGAATACACATTCTATTCAACAGCACATGGAACTTTCTCCGAGATAAACCATATGATAGGGCATAAAATGAGCCTCAATAAATTTAAGATAATTGAAATTATATCAAGCACTCTCAGATCACAGAGGAATAAAACTGTAAAAGGAACCTTCAAAACCATGCAAATACATGGAAATTAAATAACCTACTACTGAATGAGCATTGGGTCAAAAATGAAGTCAAGAAGGAAATTAAAAAATTCTTCCAACTGAACGACAATAATGACACAACCTATCAAAACCTCTGGGATACAGGAAAGGCGGTGCTTAGAGGAGAGTGCATAGCCCTAAATGCCTACATCAAAAAGACCAAAATAGCACAAACTGACATTCTAAGATCACACCACAAGGAACTAGAGAAACAAGAACAAACTAAACCCAAACCCAGCAGAAGAAAGGAAATAACCAAGATCAGAGCAGAACTAAATGAAATTGAAACAAAAGAAAATACAAAAGATAAATGAAACAAAAAGCTGGTTCTTTGAAAAGATAAGTAAAATTGATAGACCATTAGCCAGATTAACCGAGAAAAGAAAACAGAAATCCAAATAACCTCACTAAGAAACGAAACAGGAAATATTACAACTGACAACACGAAATACAGAAGATCATTCAAGGCTACTATGAACACCTTTACGCACATAAATTAGAAAACCTAGGCAGTGGATAAATTCTTGGAAAACAACAACTCTCCTAGCTTAAATCAGGAAGAATTAGATACCCTGAACAGACCAACAATAAGCAGCGAGATTGAAATGGTACTTAAAAAGTTACCAACAAAACAAAGTCCAGGACCAGATGGATTCACAGCCGAATTCCACCAGACATTCAAAGAATTGGTATCAATCCTTTTGACACTATTCCACAAGTTAGAGAAAGAAGGAACCACCCCCCACCCCCGGCCCCACAATTCATTCTATGAAGCCAGCATTGCCCTAATACCAAAACCAGGAAAGAACACAAGCAAAAAAGAAAACTACAGACTGATATCCTTGATGAACATAGATGCTAAAATCCTTAACAAAATACTAGCTAACCGAATCCAACAACATATCAAAAAGATAATCCACCATGATCAATTGGGTTCCATACCTGGGATGCAGAGATGGTTTGACATATGAAAGTCAATAAATGTGATAAACCACATAAACAAAATTGAAAACAAAAATCACATGATCATTTCAATAGATGCAGAAAAAGCATTCAACAAAATCCAGCATTCCTTTATGATTAAAACTCTCAGCAGAATCAGCATACAAGGGACATAGCTCAATGTAATAAAAGCCATCTATGACAAGCCCACAGCCAACATAATACTGAATGGGGAAAAATTGAAAGCATTCTTTCTGAGAACTAGAACAAGACAAGGATGCCCACTCTCACCACTCCTCTTCAACATAGTACTGGAAGTCCTAGCCAGAGCAATCAGACAAGAGGAAGAAATAAAGGGCATCAAATCAATGAAGAGGAAGTCAAACTGTCACTGTTTGTTGACAATATGATCATTTACCTTGAAAACCCTAAAGACCTCCAGAAAGCTCCTAGAACTGATAAAAGAATTCCATAAAGTTTCTGGTCACGAGATTAATGTACACAAATCAGTAGCTCTTCTATACACCAACAGTGACCAAGTGGAGAATCAAATCGAGAACTCAACCCCTTTTACAATAGCTGCAAAAAACTAAAATAAAATAAAATACTTAGGAACATACCTAACAAAGGAGTCAAAAGACCTCTACAAGGAAAACTACAAAACAATGCTGAAAGAAATCACAGATGACACAAACAAATGGAAATACATCCCATGCTCATGGATGGGTAGAATCAATATTATTAAAAAGACTATACTGCCAAAAGCATCTACAATTCCAATGCAATTCCTATCAAAATACCACCATCATTCTTCACAGAATTAGAAAAAACAATTCTAAAATTCATATGGAACCAAAAAAGAGCCTGCAGAGCAAAAGCAACACTAAGCAAAAAGAACAAATCTAGAGGCATCACACTACCTGATTTCAAACTATACTATAAGGCCATAGTCACCAAAACAGCATGGTACTTGTATAAAAATAGGCACACAAACCAAAGGAACAGAATAGAGAACCCAGAAATAAACCAAAATACTTATGGCCAACTGATCTTCAACAAAGCAAACAAAAACATAAAGTGGGGAAAGGACATCCTTTTCAACAAATGGTGGTGGGATAATTAGCTAGCCACATGTAGGAGAATGAAACTGGATCCTCATCTCTCCCTTATATAAAAATCAACTCAAGATGGATTAAGGACTTAAATCTAAGACCTGAAACTATAAAAATTCTAGAAGATAACACTGGAAAAATCCTTCTAGACATTGGCTCAGGCAAGGATTTCATTACCAAGAACCTAAAAGCAAATGCAATAAAAACAAAGATAAATAGTTGGGACTTAATTAAACTAGAGAGCTTTTGCATGGCAAAAGGAACAGTCAGCAGAGTAAACAAACAACCACAGAGTAGGAGAAAATCTTCACGATCTATACATCTAACAAAGGACTAATATCAAGAATCTATAATGAACTCAAACATATCAGTAAGAAAAAAAACCATCAAAAAGTAGGCCAAGGACATAAATAAACAATTCTCAAAAGAAGATATACAAAAGGCCAACAAACGTATGAAGAAATGCTCAACATCACTAATGATCAGGGACATGCAAATCAAAACCGCAATATGATACCATCTTACTCTTGCAAGAATGGCCATAATCAAAAAAATCAAGACACAATAGATGTTGGCATGGATACAGTGATCAGTGAACACTTTTACTCTGTTGGTGGGAACGTAAACTAGTACAACCACTATGGAAAACAGCGTGGAGATTCCTTAAAGAACTAAAAGTAGAACTACCATTTGATCCAGCAATCCCATTAATGGGAATCCACTCGGAGGAAAAGAAGTCATTATACGAAAAAGAAACTTGCACACGCAAGTTTATAGAAGCACAATTCGCAATTGCAGAATCATGGAACCAACCCAAATGCCCATCAATCAACAAGTGGATAAAGAAACCATGGTATATATATACAATGAAATACTACTCAGCCATAAAAAAGGAATGATTAACGGCATTTGCAGTGACCTGGATGATATTGGAGAACTATTATTCTAAGTGAAGTAACTCAGGAATGGAAAACCAAACATTGTATGTTCTCACATATAAGAGGGAGCTAAGCTATGAGGATGCAAAGGCATAAGAATGATACAATGAACTTAGGGGACTTGAGGGGAAGGGTAGGAGGGGGACGAGGGATAAAAGACTACAAATAGGGTACGGTGTATACTTCTCAGGTGATGGGTGCACCAAAATCACACAAATCATCACTAAAGAACTTACTCATGTAACAAAATACCACAATAACATACGGAAAAATTTAAACAAAAATAAATGAGCTTCATATTAAAATAACCTGTTGTTTCTTCCATAAATTGAACAGAATCATAAAGTATATAAAGTGTGAGAATTTACATATTTATCCAGAGTTTAAAAGATTTCCCAAGTCAGAAAATAGAACTCTATTTCAAAAGGGCTGAAGTAATGGACTTCAAATAAATGTTTCAATGTGCTCATTTTCGGTGAACTGTGAAATGCCTACATTCATTTATATATTCAGCAAACATTTCTGGAGTTTACCATGGGTCGTTACAGGGCCAGGCACTGAGAAATTCATTTTCTACCTCTTTGAAAGATAATGGGCTGCAGACTACAATGATTTTGCAAAAAAGCAAAGAAACTGTCAGGTCAATAATTATGAGATATCAACTCAGAACTATAAAAAGATCATTTCAATAACTACATCCTGTGCAAGACAACCTAACCATGGGAACAGAATATGAGAGTTTTTCTGTTACTACTTTAACAGATGAAATGTAAGAAAACTTTCTCCAGTATTTTATGGCCTGAACTATGCTGAGATTTCTTTCTTCTAATGTTACATTTTATGCCACATTCACACGTACCTGTTGAGCTGGTTATTTCTAAATGTAAATAAGTATTTACACTTGTATATGTAGGGATATTGTATTCTGGACTCATAAAATGTTCAATTTGGAAATCATCTAACCAAGCGATAAAATAATTTCAACTTTATACCTGCACATAATTTTTTTCTCTTTAAATGCAGTTTCTATAGCTAAAGTAGGAGTGGGAGAGAAGGCTTATGGGAATACTAAGGTGATGTTGCTCTCACAGTGTTGAAAGCACAGCAGCTGTTGTAGCAGAATTTCTCACCCCTGTACCACCCAGACATGCAAGTCCTGGCAAAGCTTCAGACTGAGCCACAATCCCCTTGGCGAATCAGAATTTCATGTGGCCCGAATACCCACACAATTGCTCTCTGTGGAGACACTCGAGCTTTTTAAACTACTCGTCTCAGAAATAGCTGATATTTTCTTTAAATTTTCTATTTTTATCCACAGAGAAAAGAGAAACCATCAAAGACAATAGAAAGAATTTAAAGGAGGACCTGTTTATCCTTGTACTTCAAAAGAGAAACCTGAAAAAACATTTCAAAGGCATCCTTGCCGGAAGTCAACCCCTGTGTCCAGACGGCCAAGGAAACAGGGCCTCCGTGTTGGTCCTTGTCAAAATATACTATCCTTGTTGACAAATCCCTGTGAGTCCATACCCTGAATTAATGCTTCTTACCAGACCCCACCATATCCAACCAAAAAAAGAGAAGAGGAAGGAACATCAGTAGTGACTCTGGATTTCGGATTTTCCTCTTTTTCCTTTTCTTTATTTTAAGCACCAGAATCTTTCTTTAAAAGAAATCACACCAGGAAGTCCAAAATGTAAAACAAATAAAATGAGAGAAGTAGAGGTGCTTTTAAATAAGAATGGCTGAGGCGAGGGCCTGGGTTGCTGACTCCTTACTTTTTCCCAACCTAATCCTGTGTCATCTCAAAAATAATCATCACCTTCATCATTGTTTTAATTTAGATCATACAGACAAGCTTTCCTGCATTCTGCTAAAAGTTGTAGGAGTGATGTGAGAACCAATAATAATGTTCCAGGTGGTCTCAAGTTTGTTCTAATTTTGATTTTTAGCACAAAGCCTGACTTTCAGATTTGTCCCCTGGTGCGGTGAGTAAAAACTGCACAAAAGTATAGTTATATTTTTTAAATGAAAACTACATGAATACATTGAGCTTAAAGTGGCAAAAAGGTGGGAGAATGGGTTACTTCCCACTTTAACCAAATATAGTGGTGAGGCTAAATGTTTTGATTCTGGAGTCATTAAATTCATAGTTTCTGGAATTATAATGCCTCAGTTGGAATCCAGCCTCTATCCTTGTTACCTGTGTGACATTGCACAATACTGTTAACTCTTTCAAAGGCTCTCTTTTGGTCATCTATAATATATGGATAATAATAGTGCACACCTCGCAAAGTTATTATGTATATTAAATGAATATCATTTTTGGTATATAGTAAGTATTAAGCAAATGTTAGATACTATTATCAACGGGCTGCGGTGTTGCACTCTGCCTTACGGGGATGGCACCAGTAGGAGTGGTGTCTAGCTTCTGTACGGCAAAAAGGTACAGAGTCGGCTTTGATGAGCGGTAGACAACCAGCACATCAAAGACTCCTGCAATCAAAACTCTGGCAGCCATCAGGCCTGCTAGCACTATGAGACCCTTTGATTCTCACAGCAACAGAATGCAGTGCTGGTGGCAGGAGTGTCTTGATGGTGGCCTCCAGTGGCAGTGAAGAGCTCCTTCACCTGGTTCTGAGGGTGCTGGAGGGCTCTTTATTCAAGCAGGTCAAGATCTCTGAGAAAGAACAGCAAGATGGCCAGTGTGGCTAGAATGAGGTGAACAGGGGAAGATGGGAGGAGTGAAGCAAGAGAAGTAACAGGACCAAATCATGGGAGGGTCCTATCAGCTTACTCTACAACTACTGATTTTTATTTTAATGGGATGGAGAGTCATTGCAGGAAGCTGAGAAGTGAAAATCATCTGCTTGGTTGAAGTAAGTGCTTCAGATAAGACTCTAAGCCAAGTAGGCAGCCATACAAGGCCAAGTGAACTGGATATGCTTTGACCTTCGTAGTCAAGCAAACTGCATACCAGTCATTCATGGTGATCTCAAAGTACATTTCACAGGTATTTTATAGTATCCAAATTAATTTTAGAAATCATTAGAAGTACCTGGGTAATTGTCAAACTTCCTTTAAATGCTGTGTTGCTATAGTATTATTTACTGAGTTATTGAGCTGTGAAATACAGACCAAGTGTAATAACCAAAGTCTAGTTCGAATGCGAAGCAGTTGGCAGTTGGTGTTAGTACCATCCATGGGTCACTGAAAGTACTAATCTACATTGTAATAGCCCAATTTTGATGATACCAGAACCAAGGAAAAGCCTAGAAATATTAGGAAACATTCAGTGACAACCACTTCCAAATTAGACACTGTGTATGAGATCCTGAAATTTACAACAAAGGCGAGGCCTCACAAAGGGAGGGTGCCTTACCTACAGTAAGTATTTGCTGACTAGATTTTATTTTAACATTAATGTAATGTGTCAGCATTTCTTACTGTCTGGAGCTAAAGCAAATCCCATCAATCATCTTTGAGGCTAGCTCTGTCATAAACACCCCAGTGAACTGAGGTAATACTTCCCAAGAACAGGTAATTACATGCCCCTTTACTTTCTCTGCTGTAGGCATCTGTTCCAATATCTGGTCACCCCACCCAAGAGACGACCAACAGAGTAAATGCTCAGTCAAGGATTAACAGATCGGGAATACTCCTGTGTGTTAAAAGATCGAGTAAAACTTCTATGAAAGTTCTTAAGTTAACCACAGTGTTGATAATGTAGCCACTGTAATATAATCACTATATCCTGATAGTGGTTCCTAACCAATAGCAACACAAGTCATAAAAGTATAGCTTTAAAAACTGAAGCTTCAAGGTTGCCTCGGCTATTAGCATTATAATGAGGAAATTAAAATCTGAAAGGATAGGGAACTGCTACTGGATCTCAAAGCAAGTTAACTGTAAAGCTACAACTATAGTTCATGTCCCAGGCCTCTTATCGCAGGGTTTCTTTCATTTCATGATGCTTTCTCCAAAGCTTTATGAATCAGTTAAGGTTCTAGGGTAGCAAGCAACAGAAACTATCTTGGCAAATGGAAACACAAATTGAGGGATTAATTGGGAGATTATAGGGGAGCCACAAATTGTAAAGAAAAGTCTTGAAACAGATAGAACCGGGTGACTTTAGAGAGTCTTTGTAACAGGAACTGCTGTCAACCTTGTCCAGATGCTGTGGTTGGCATGAAGGAGTTCCCAACAATTTATTTCTGACCTTGCATAATTTTACTCAAAACTTAAAGTCACACAAGACTCTAATAATGTTATGTGCCTCTTGGTTGTTCTTGAGTGATAAAAAAGAGAATCTTATGGAAGGAGCCTCCCCTTTATAGTTCAGAATAGAAAAACAAATAGGTGGATTTACCACCCCACCAAGACTTCACACAAGGGGGATAATTAATTCTCCTAAATGTAATCAGGGCAGAGGTAGAAAGGGGTATTTGTGTGAGCAGTCAACAACTG
Source organism: Homo sapiens (assembly GCF_000001405.40). Classification (NCBI taxonomy): domain Eukaryota; kingdom Metazoa; phylum Chordata; class Mammalia; order Primates; family Hominidae; genus Homo; species Homo sapiens. Next base: position 76,964,376 of record NC_000012.12, on the reverse strand, counting down.
ACAAATGTCTGAAACAAGATAAAATATATCCATGAGAACTTGTACAACTTGAAGAGAAATGGGAGCTACATTTTAGAAATTAGAATCCTATAAATGTTGATAGTTGAGCACAACATTCTTTTATTAAGTTGATAAATTGTGTGTCTATTGTAAAAGTGACATGAGCAGTTAAGGACTGATTTACTGGCTAATAATACATTGAATTAGAAATATGGTTAGAACACTTAAATCAATTTCCATAACTAGGGCATGAAAGGGAAGAAATACTCATAAATTAACAGCCTTCATTAACTATTTTAACTACTTAAGAGAATGAGGTCATTGTTAACACTGCAAGACAGTAACTGTTTTGAAGATCTACTGGCAAAATTAGGTAATGTGTGGCAATCTGTAACTGAGTATATGTGAGGTTATAATTATGGGATTAATCCATAAGAAAAAAAGGATTGATCACAGCGATCAGGTTATCTGGCTGATTGATTAAAATATCATTAATAAAATGATACTATATTATAGTGTTACTACAATTCAGTTCAGTAAATATTTGCTGAGTCTCTCCTTTTTGATGGACACAAATACAGCCGTGAATAAAGCTTCATCTTTGCCCTCAAAAAGTATTTATACACTTGTGGTAAAGACAAAAAAGATACGTGATAGAAATGAATTTCACCACTTTTATGGGTAAGTAGGAGAATTTAAAGTTTCACCTACAGCCACCACTGCCCCTTCGGGGCTTAATGCTCGCAGTCTCTACTGCATTATTCCAAGGGTCCTGGGATTTGGGGGTGGTGGTGGTTTCACTTGGGTCAGTTGATTGGGTATTGCTCAAAGTCTTGTGCAGGTGGGTATCATTCTACCAGATGAGCAACAAATGACGTGCTGGCTGCAGACTGTTAGAGGGGAGAGTGTCTTTCCCTTTCCTGGCGTTTTCTTTCATGTTGAGAAAAGCACTACCAGTGTAATACTGCTGGCTCTCCAGCCCAATCTCATCACAGGAGTGAACACAGTCACTTCTCTATCTGATAAAATTGGGAAGAACAAACGAGGTATTCTCATGTCATCTTCTCCCTTTTTCCTCTTGGTAGCAAACCTGATTGCCAGGATGAGTGGTAGGAGCTGCCAAAAACCTCACGGGACCTTCCACCAGCCCCAGAGAGAGAGCCTGCCCTTCATCCAGCACTGCCAGTGGGACAAAGAGGTGCATCTGGCCCTCCCATCTGGGGTTCTGTAAATCCATTTTATTTTACATCTCCAATCCTGAAGTTTATCAATAAGAATGGTGATACTGTAGCCCTTGTCAGTTCTTGGCTGTATTCCTCAATTTGTTCAGAGTTCAGGTCTCTCCTGCCATCCCAGATCCCACTTATCTCTGCCTCCTACCAGCGTATATTCCCTCCATCTCCACCCCTCCTCCACAATAAAAGACCCCAGCACTGAGAAGGACAGCTAAGCTGATGTTTAAGCCACACTGGAATGGGGACAGGACCGTCTGTGGCTGCTAACTGTTCACACTCGGGTCCCTGATGCTGATGCCAAGCAACACTCACTCGAGAGGATGGGCAGGTGGGGCCAAGCTCTCTCTGGAGGCTGGCTGTGGACCTATCTGTGTGAACCCTCCAGATCTGGGCTTTCTCTAGATCCCACCTATTTTTGTCTCCCACTAGGCTATGTTCCCTCCCTCTCCCCTTTCTCCCCCTTACTCCAGTCTAGAGAATTCTGGTTACAAATGTGCTCTTCTCTAACTCCTCACAACTTGTACCAAATCTATTACTCCACATGGTTTCTTCCTATTACCAGGATGCCCAGGCTTTGGAACTCAAAGGTTGAAAATCGACTTCTAGGTAAATAAATAGAATCAACTCCTTTTTTGGTCCCTGTCTATCTACTCCATCACCCATTCCCCGCTGGCAACGAACACAAAATGCTCAGCTGATTGAATCAGGCAAAGGCCAAGGAATAAGAAGAAATATGGGAAACAAAAGATTCATTCAAAAATATTATTCCACTCCACAGGTGACTAAGCAATTACAACACAATGTCAAAAACAAGAGAAGGAAGCCCAGAGCACTACCTGCATACAAATGAAGGCCAGATCATCCCTTGTGAGCGAACCATAAAAGGCTTCAGGGGAAGAGCACTTCAGGTCAAGGCTTGAAATTGTCAGAATAAAATCTGAGTTCTTACAAGGGGTTTCTGTGTGAGTGTGTCTGTGTGTGTGTGTGTGTGTGTGTGTGTGTGTGTGTTGTGGGGATTTTTTAATTGGCTTGTTTACTTTTGATTTCAGAAAATTCAAAACATAAATGTCAGAAAAGAGTACCATGGTACGGGCGCGGTGGCTCACGTCTGTAATCCCAGCACTTTGGGAGGCCCATCACAAGGTCAGGAGATCGAGACCATCCTGGCTAACACGGTGAAACTCCGGCTCTACTGAAAAAACAAAAAAACAAAAAATTAGCCAGGCCTGGAGGCAGGTGCCTGTAGTCCCAGGTACTCAGGAGGCTGAGGAAGGAGAATGCCGTGAAACCGGGAGGCGGAGCTTGCAGTGAGCCGAGACTGTGACACTGCACTCCAGCCTGGGCGACAGAGTGAGACTCAGTCTTTTTTTTTTTTTAAAAAAAAAAGAGCACCATGAACACCCATCATCAAGTGCATCACCAAGTTGCATCCATCTTCACATCATAGCCAAACTTACCTCATTTAAATGCTATCTTCTCAGGACCAAATTATTTTGAATCAAACTTATCATTTCATTCATAGGTATTAAAGTGTATATTTCTGAAAGGTAAGAACTTTTCTAGCAATACAGAGGGGCTATCTAAATTTATTTTTGACCAGGCATGATGGCTCACACCTGTAATCCCAGCACTTTGGGAGACCGAGGCAGGAGAATGGCTTGAGATCAGGAGTTCGAGACCAACCCGGCCAACATGGTAAAACAGAGTCTCTACTAAAAATGCAAAACTTAGTTGGGCGTGATGGCACGTGCCTGTAGTCCCAGCTACTCAGGAGGCTGAGGTGGGAGAATCTCTTCAACCCAGGAGGCGGAGGTTTTAGTGAGCCAAGAACGCCCCATTACCCTTCAGCCTGGGTGACAGCAGGACTCTGCCCCAAAAAAATAAATAAGGCCAGGCGCAGTGGCTCATGCCTGTAATCCCAGCACTTTGGGAGGCTGAGGCGGGCAGATCACCTGAGATCAGAAATTTGAGACCAGCCTGGTCAACATAGTGAAACCCCATCTCTACTAAAAATACAAAAATTAGCTAGGCTTGGTGGTGTGCACCTGTAATCCCAGCTACTAGGGAGGCTAAGGCAGGAGAATTGCTTGACCCCGGGAAGCGAAGGTTGCAGTGAGCCAAGATTGCACCACTGCACTACTCCAGCCTGGGTGACAGAGTGAGATTCCATCTCAAAAATTAAATAAGTAAATAAATAAATTTTTCATGTAACGATTAGGTTAGAAAAAATTCCCATTTTCAATGTTAATTCCATCTCTCATTTTAAAAAATCACTAAAAGGACAAAAAAATGACACAAAATACAATCCATATCTATTCTGTACTTACAGAAAACCAGTCACTATTAAGGTACAAATTGATTAAAAATTTAACATTTATTCAAATAGTCAAAATATGTTGTGCATAGTATAACACCAACAACTTCATATACTGTAGTATCATATTCCCTTCATTGCCTCAAGAGAACATGAGAAAAATAATTTCCAGTGTTTCAACTTATTTACTTTTAGCCATCTTACTTAACCGAATTTAACTGGGGCAGTTTTCTCTTTGGCATAATGTCAAATCACTGTTCACATACACCAACTTAACACTGCATATTCATTCCATCTTCCTCCTGGTGCAAATGTATGGTAGAGGGCAGAGGAAAAGCTCCAAATTATTATTTTTTATTTGGGAAGGTCTTATTAAACACATAGTAAAATTTAGAGCATTGAGTTGTTCAAGAAGAAACAAATCTGGAATTGTTAACCTGTGCTGAATGTTTAGCATGATGCATTAATGCAATCAAAGAAGGCAGGTGATCATCACATAATCCACAAGATCCTTTGTATACATATGCACTGGATGATTCCACTATATTTGAAAAAGGAGTGATCTAGTTCTACATCTGTAACCAGGTAAGGTTCAGTTTAGTTTTGGAAGGACAGCCCCTCAATGCCAGTTATAATTGATAATTTTATGACATGCCCATTATCTATGCCTTCAAGATTACCAATAATATTTTTTAAATGAAAATTTTTCTATACACAAAATATCTCTTCAATTCTTGTTCTTACTTTAATGGGAATACTTGGCCATGGAAAAATGTCAAGAAAGTATTTCTTATCCCACATTTGTACAAAGGAACCCAACTGTTGTGTATGTTTATCTAATGCCTCCTACTGAGAGCGCATGAGAGTGGTTTATATCCATGTAGAAAATTTTGAATACCGAACATAAGTTGTTACAGTACAGGTAACTGACAATATTTCCCATGGGAAAGTTTTCTAACAAATTAATATACTTGGAAATAATATTGCTTTGAAGAAAGAAAGGCACTTTAGTGGTGTTCTTCATGCATTCTATGTAGGCCAGGCGCAGTGGTTCACACCTGTAATCCCAGCACTTTGAGAGGCTGAGGCGGACGGATCACCTGAAGTCAGGAGTATGAGACCAGCCTGGTCAACATGGTGAAACCCCATCGCTACTTTAAAAAAAAAAGTACAAAAATTAGCTGGGCATGGTGGCATACACCTGTAGTCCCAGCTACTGGGGAGGCTGAGGCATGAGAATCACTTGAACCTGGGAGGCAGAGGTTGCAGTAAACGGTATTGAGCCACCGCACTCCAGACTTGGCAACAGAGTGAGACGTGGTCTCAAAAAAAAACAAAAACAAAAAAAAAAACAAAAAAAAACCTTTGTAAATCCATAATAATATATCTGAAAAAACCTAGGAAACAATGTTGCCTGATTTCTTAGACTTTCACAGTATAAGATTGTAACAGTGAATCTAGTCAATTTAAAAATTGTCTTTTTTATTTTCCTACAGAACTCAGTTATCTTTATAAAATGTCATCCTGGAGACTCAAACAAGCCATTCCATTCTCAGCAAACACAAGTCTACTTAAAGCAGACAGATATAGTTTTAGGAAAATCCTGTGACCATATGGAACATAGCTAATATGTATATAATAAGGATTGTAATCTATTTCTCCTCATAATGGCAATGGTACTGTCTTGTACATGATTATTTGTCTTTTTAAATAAAGTGACAGTCTAGGGCTCCAGTTATTATAATAAAAGTCATTTATTCTCTATAAAAGGCAAGAACTTTAAAAAGATAATCTCAATGCTATCATCACACAGAACAACTTGATAATTTTTTAATATCATTAAACAACCAACCAGTCAGCATTCAGAGTTCCACATTTGTATCAATTTTTTAAAACTATAGTTGGCTTCAAATCAGCTTCTAAGCAAGAAGCCTCACATACTGTTTTTGTTTGATATTTATTTTAAGTCTCTCATCCACAGTTGTCCCCCACTTTTCCTTGCAATTCATTTGTCAATGACACCAGACTGTTTGTCCTCAGAGTATCTCATATTCTGGATTTTGATTATTAAATTTCTCTGGTGCTTTTTGATATATTTTTCTTTCTAGTTTATTCACTATAAACTGGCAGTTATAACTAGAAGCATGATGTAACTTTAATTTTTTGACAAAAAAAAACTTTATAGGTGGTACTGTAAACTTCCAGTAGGTGTTACATGATTTTCTATTGCCCATCTGTGATGTCAGCAATCATTGAACATGACGACCTTGATTCATTATTTCATTAGGGGTTTGTGTTTGTATTTTAGAGGCTTATAACAAATCTCACAAAAAGAATTCATATTCTTCTGTGTTTTTTTGTGGGGAATCAATATTTCCTGTTACCATATATTTCCTAATACTCTGGGGCTAGGGTCCACAGAGTGAGGAAGGGGAGACACAACAGCTTACCTAGCTAGTCTACAATAAAGCTTTGTAATGTTTCTAAGTGCACCAGTAAATCTCATTTAACAACAGAATTGTGATACTTGAAAACCAATGCCTAACTTGAGAATAGAGAGATTTAAATGTAGGTTCCAGAGTAGCTCTACCATGAAACAGAAAATTCTTAAATCCTTATGTCATTTCCTTTGTGCTCACTATCAATCACATTCCCTTAGTTTAACTAAATAGAAATTTAAAAATTTATTCAATTTCTGTCAATTCTCATTCTCTTCCTTATATTGATAGACTTTTCCCCCTCTAGTTGAAATTCTCCTTGTCATAATAAAAAACCAGTTGGATTCATTTGTAGACAGGTCCATTAAGAATAAAAAAATTACTAAACATGAAAACAAAAGACTGCACTATGAAACAAAAGAAGCATGTATATTCCTACCCAGGACATCTGCAAACGGTTAAGGTGTTATAATAATTCTTTTCTTCTGCACGTCAATTGCTAAGCCACCTGTTAAGTATTCAGTACTACTCACTTGACAATGCAGACTGAGAATTTACACTAAATGAAGAATTGTTCCCAAGACTAGCTCTTTTTAAAATAAGGCTTTGGCAAGATTCATTTCTTGTCTAACAAGCAGTAATGAAAAGAAACATTTATATAACATTTGTTTCGTAGATCCAAACCAAGTCCTACAAAAACTTATTTTCCTATACACCTAATTGAAGATAAAAATTCAAATGACATAATAATCATAATTTGTAATCACTAAGGAATATTAGGGTGAGTGCTGGAGAAGGGTGAGGTGGCAACTGTGAACACAACAGATTTGCCAGTCAAAAATATGAACACCATATGAGGTACCCAAATTCACAGCTTGGCAGTACATTACAAACCACCCATGAATTTACAATGTGTCACACTTCAAAGAAGCCTAGATTCATTTTCAAGTGTAATCTTTAACACTCTGGGATTATCTCTGATGTCAGTTCTGTCTCAGAATCTGTGACTATTCCTGAATATGCTTAATTATTTTAAAATGCAAGTCATTACAGCTCTTGATTTCAGAAATAGGCACAGAAAATAGCACCATTCTTGATCACTAACTAGTTATTTGTAACCTGCCTTATTCATAAAGGACTTACGACAGCTTCTAAAGATACATAAAATAAGGTAAATAAATTAGAAATAAGTGAGAAAAAAAAGAGAAAGCAATGAAGATATAAAACTAAGGCAAGAATGAAGCTAGTCCACAAAAAGTGCACCTATACATACTTTCCGAGGAGGGTACTGACCATGCATGAAGAGGTTGTTCTAAGATTCAAGGACACCCCTGAATAAAGCCAAGTGGCATTGGCTTCATGTGAACATTGCTACTCAGACCCTCATCTTTTCTTTGCCTTCTTCCAGCCTTTCATAGATTCTATGACTTCAAAACTTTTATGTTAAAAACAAGTAAATGTTTAAATGGAACAAACAATAAAAAGTCATCATTTTATCTATTTTAGGTCATTGACTTCCCCAGATTTCTTTAGAAATATTTTCCCTGATTCCACAGCTAATACAATTATTACCAAACTTCATGGGCGGCAGTCCTTTGAACTTTCCTAAGCCTTTTGAAGAGTTTCCAAATATTCAGGTGTGGGTCATAGAAGTTATTTTTTCCTAATGCTGGCAGAGAAAATTATCTGCACTGCATTCTGACTTCCAGATGGTACTTTAAAGATTACTATCTGAGGCCTTATACGCCCTTTGCAGCTGTAAAGTCATTCATCCATCCATTACCTATTAATAAATTAATTAATGTAACAGATATTGATTGAGTACTCTCTATGTCCCAGAAGTACATTAGGCACAGTGAGGAAGGACTGAACGAGTTACATACTCTGTCTTTAAGGAGTGGGGCAGACATAAGACCTAATCTCAATTCCCTTCTCTCTTGTCCACTTCCCCCACAAAGCTTTCCCATCTCCCCAGGTTTCCCTGAAGCCAAAAATGGCCATTTAACATAGTTCAGGCTGATGAGATATAAGAAAAAAAATCAGCTCAAGTTTCTAGCAAAGCTTTCTGGCTGCAATGAAAGACCTAGCCAGAGCAGACTTTGGCTCTGCAGAGAATGAGCTGCCAAACCAATGGTAGCAGCTAATTTCTTTCATCTTGATGTTTTGTATATAAGAAAAACAACTTCTATTTGTTTAGGCCACACTGAGTCCATTTTTCTGTTACTTGCAGCCTAACACATCCCAAACTAAAATAATGAATTCACTCTATTTGAAAAATTAGACAAAATAGGCCAGGTAGGTGGTTCATGCCATAATCCCAGCACTTTGGGAGGCAGAGATAGGCGGATCACTTGAGGACAGGAGTTCAAGACCAGCCTGGCCAACATGGTGAAACCCTGTCTCTACTAAAAATACAAAAATTAGGCTGGCATGGTGGTATGCACCTGTAGTCCCAGCCACTTGGGAGGCTGAGGCAGGAGAATCACTTGAACCCAGGAGGTGGAGGTTGCATGAGCTGAGATCAAGTCACTGCACTCCAGCCTGGGTGACAGAGAGAGACTCCATCTCCAAAAAAAGAAAAGGAAAAAAAAAGAAAAATTAGACAAAATAGTCATAAAATACAAGACAAAAAGAAAAAAATGCTATTGGCTTCCAATAAATCATTTCTATCCAGGAAATAATGAAAGGAGAGATAAGTGAGTAAAGAAGGACAGTAAAAAAATGGCAATATTTTTGCTGTTGTATGTACTCGCCCCCAGCAAGACTGCTTTAGAAATAACTGAGACAATGTCTCCTTAGCAACCAGACAACAAAACTATCATCCTGCAGTACTAGACAACATGGTAGTGGAGTAGGGACCTTAGGGAGAGAAAGCAATGAAGAAGAGCCAATGCCCTGGGAAAGAGGTTGTGGTAGCCTTGTGAAGCAGAATTTGGGGGAGAAGAGAATTTTTAGGAAGCTTTGATAAATGTTGAATAATGGGATTGGTCCTTCCTTTCTATTTTAGACACTTCAATAATGATTTGTATCATTTTGAAGAACTCTTAGAAGTGGATGTATGTTTCTATTGAATGAAATGCTGTACAAAGCAGAAACTGTAGGCAACTTCAGGAAGGCCAAAATATTTAAGTTACACATGCATTATCATATTTTTTTTTTTTTTTTTTTTTTTTTTTGACACGGAGTCTCGCTCTGTCGCCCAGGTCGGACTGCGGACTGCAGTGGCGCAATCTCGGCTCACTGCAAGCTCCGCTTCCCGGGTTCACGCCATTCTCCCGCCTCAGCCTCCCGAGTAGCTGGGACTACAGGCGCCCGGCACCGCGCCCGGCTAATTTTTTGTATTTTTAGTAGAGACGGGGTTTCACCTTGTTAGCCAGGATGGTCTCGATCTCCTGACCTCATGATCCACCCGCCTCGGCCTCCCAAAGTGCTGGGATTACAGGCGTGAGCCACCGCGCCCGGCCGCATTATCATATTTTATCATCACAACAACCCTATGAAAGAGCTATTATCTTTTTTTTTTTAAGTGGGGAACTGAGGCTCAAAGGACTAAGATATTTGCCTCAGCTTTTACCTTTGGAAAGTTGCACAATGGAAATTGAACACACTTTGCCAAAGTATATCCAAAATACTTTGTAGATTTTACTAGAATACCATGCTATGTGGCCTAGAAAAAAAAAAATTCTGGGAAAGGGGCAGATTCAAACAGGGTTGAGAGGAAAAAAAAATTCCTTAGACGGGAATTTCCATGAAATTTGTAAGATAAATAATCAGAAATTAAAAGGGAGGTTTGTTGCTCTGTATAAGGAAGGCAAAAAAAAGAACCACACTATTTTTTTTTTTATTATCGTTGTTGTTAGAGGAAAGGTAGCTGCACTCTAACTAGCTGAGTGACTTTGGGGAATGTACTTCACATGTGAGTCTCAGTTTTCTCATCTGTAAGATAAGTGACTGTGAGAATTCAATGATATAATATAAAAAGTACTTAGCTATAGTGACTGACATGTTGTAAGTTTCAAAACTGTTAACTATTATCATCATCATGATTATTCTAATTATTTCTCTTTCCCTGCCCCAATCAGTGCTCACCAATGAGTGAGAATTTATTATATTCCTCTTGTGTTCTTTGAGAAGATTGGTTTCTAAGAGATTTCTCTCTCTCTCACACACACACAGACACACACACACACACACACACACACACAAGATGTGCCTACAGGCAACAGAAAAAAAGTAATATTAGAACAATCTGCAACATGAATGATATGAATGATCTTGGACCATCACCAAGATCAGTAGGACTTCACCCCCTGGCCAATAAATAACACTCACATCTCTCTTACATGGAGCGTGGCTTCCAGAGTGCCAAAGCTGCCAGTCCTCTGTGGCTGGAAGGAAAGTTGTCATATAGGGAAGACTAAAAGCAAAACAAGAAGGTCACAAAGGAAGGGACCTCCTATTCTCTAAGAAAGATGAAAACGGATCTTTTGCTGTTTTGCTTGATGTTTAAAACGCACTGAGTGAATTCAATCTTTTGAAAAGCATATGGACATGCCAGGATTTTGGTTTTTTTTTTTTTTTTTTTTGGGGGGGGGAAATTTGCTATACCTGAAACATTTTTTTCCTAAAAATGTCTAAGCTGGATTTCCTAAAAATATCTGACATTTTTTCCCTATCAATGTCTAAACTGGCAACAGTTATAAATAAACTCTTTGCTGGAATCCTAGGAATTGATTCTTAAAACTTAATATAGTTGTAGTTAGTGGTTTATAGACTGTTGAATAACTAGGCCAATAAAGCAAGCAATGGGACCAAGAGGGTAAGTGGTAGGAGGCAGGTGGATGGCTTCATTTATACAAGGCTGGGGGTCTCAGGGTGCCAAGTAGGGCTTGTGTGGAGCCAACCATCTAATGATGAGAGAAATTAACAACTGGCTGGTAAGGATATGTAACCTTTAATCTGTTCCACTTCTGGTCTTCCAGATTTCTTTCTCTCTCTTGATTTCAGTCTCTGAGTCTGGAGCCTGAAACCCATAATAGTGTGAACACAGCAATTTATTAATGTAGAAGTACTTTATATTTCAGAAGTATAATTTCAGAGCTGGGAAGGATTTGGGGAGGGGTGATCTCGTTCAGACTAGAACAGTCAGTCATCTCTTCACTAGGATGACACCAGCATGACAAAGACCAGGAGTGCCACCCTCAGGCTGTAGAACAGATGGAGAACTGGAAAAACTGGCTGGAAAGGAAAGTGAGAGAAAGGGAAGGCAGAAAAGAACAATGGAAATTAGCTGCAGTGGAGAGTGGCAGCTACAGTAATTGTTGTAAGACTTTCTTACAGTGTCTGTGACTCGAAGCCATATCTACCCCTGGGCTAGATTTTACCTATGCCATTCGACATGTGACCTGATATTAGAGATATAACAGAAAATTATGTGCCAGGCACAATTGCTAATGCCTGCAATCCCAATAATTTGGAAGGCCGAGGCAAGGGGATTGCTTGAGCCCAGGACTTTGAGACCTGCCTGGACAACATAGCAAGACCCTGACTCTACAAAAAGTAATAAATTAGTCAGGCACGGTAGCACATGCCTGTAGTTTTTGCTATTTGGGAGGCAGAGGTGGTTGGATCCCTTGAGCCCAGGAGTTTGAGGCTGAAGTGAGCTATAATTGTATCACTGCACTCCAGCCTTGGTGACAGAGTGAGACCCTGTATCAAAAAAGAAAAGAAAGAAAATGATGGTCTACCTTTTCATGAGTCCTACATCCCCAATTATTTCTTTGCTAGTAGGCAGGGAGTCATATCATCCCAGACTCTGAGCTTAGACAAGTGGGGTATGTGTGATCTTCCCATGCACCATCACTATCTCCCTAAATAATGCATAATGGTTATTTGCTTAATATTTTACAGTTTACAAAGCAATAAAGCTCCATGGTTAAGACTCTGGAATCAGAGAGCCTGAGATTGAACCTTACCTCTTACTGGTTGTGTGACATGGGGCAAGGTAATTCATCCATTCAGCAAATACTTATGACCATAATGCACCAGGCACTACAAACATAACAATGAACCAAACAAATGTCCTTCTTTGTATCATGTATCTCATATGCCAGTGGAAGAGGTAGACCGTGAACAAATAAGTAGACACATGCATACTAGACCGCAATAGGGGCTAAGGAGAAAAAATATAAAGCAGAGAAGGGGTAGCCGAAAAATTGGAGGTGTGAGCTGCACATTTACATATAGTGACCAAGGAAGGCTTACTAAGAAGATGAATTTTGAGGAAAAAAAAAGACTCAAAGGAAGGAATCATGTAGATAATTGGGGGAAACACATCCAGGGGCAAAAGCTGCCCGGGGTGATGACCCTAAGTAAGGGGAAAGGTGGTGTCCAAGGTCACAGTAACTGACTTGAGCAAGTGAGGGAGAGAGTGGGATAAGAAAAAGCCAGAGAGGCAGCCTTGTAGAACATAGGGTGGATTTTGGCTTTTACTCTGGATAAGGTGGAAAGATTTTAAGTAGAGTAGTGACAAGATCTGACTCAAGTTTCAGCAGGATTATTCTGCCTGTTGTGTTAAGGATACATTGAAGAGACAGATGATGAAAACAGGAAGACCAGTTGGGAATCTATTGCAATAACCCAGGCAAGAAACAAGATGGTTTATATTAACTAACATCTCTGTGTGGGTTTTTTTCCCTCTATAAAATGGGCATAGTAATGCTCATTGTTCTGGGTAGGCAGTGCGATGCTGCATTAATAGATGTAAAGCCTTTAGAACAGTGCCTAGCATATAGCAAACACTAAAATATCAGCTATTATTTGGTCTCATTTGAATCCCTCAACTAGCTCCATTTAATGGATGTAGAAACTGAAACTTAAAAAACTTAAATAAGGCTGGGCGTGGTGGCTCATACCTGTAATCCCAACACTTTGGGAGGCCAAGGTGGGTGGATCACTTGAGGCCAGGAGTTCGAGACCAGTCCGGCCAACATGGCTAAACCCCATCTCTAGCCAGGTGTGGTGGCGTGTGCCTGTGGTCCCAGCTACTCAGGAGGCTAAGGCATGAGAATCACTTGACTAGGGAGGCAGAGATTGCAATGAGCTGAGATCTCACCACTGCACTCTAGCCTGTGCAACAGAGTGAGACCCTGTCTCGAAAGAAAGAAAGAAAGAAAGAAAGAAAGAAAGAAAGAAAGAAAGAAAGAAAGAAAGAAGAAAGAAAGAGAGGAAAAGAAAAGAAAAGAAAAGAAAAGAAAAGAAAAGAAAAGAAAGAAAGAGGAAGGGAGGGGAGGGGAGGGAAGGAGAAAAAGGGAGGGAGGGAGAGAGGGAGGAAGGAAGGAAGGAAGGAAAGAAGGAAGGGGAAAACTTAAATGACTTGTCTAAAGTCACAATATCTTGAAAGTGTTACAGGCAGGAATTGAACATGAGTCTTAAGCCTGTGTGCTTTACAGTGTGACATGTTGCTTCTACTTTCAGGGAAGTAATTCATTCAAACTTCCTTCTGGCCATGAACATTTGCTCTGATTCTGTTCATCAGTTTAACCTGTCACCCAACAAGGTCCTGAGCAAACCCTGGGCCATAGAACAAGTAGGTTTGATGAATGGAAGAAGACAGGGAGAGGTTCAGAGTATAGAATGACTCCTAGTTGAAGTAAGCCCACACTGAGAACTTAGAGAGGATAAGCGTGAGACACCTTAGGAAGAAGGTAAAAGAAAAACATAGAAAGAAGACAAAATGTGTGGGCATGTTAAAAAAGCTAAAGAATAAAAGGAAAGGCCAGGCGCAGTGGCTCACACCTGTAATCCCAGCACTTTGGGAGGCCAAGGCGGGCGGATCACCCGAGGTCAGGAGTTCGAGACCAGCCTGGCCAACATGGTGAAACCTCGTCTCTACTAAAAATACAAAATTAGCTGGGCATGGTGTTGTGCGCCTGTAGTCCTGGCTACTCAGGAGGCTGAGGCAGGAGAATCTCTTGAATCCGGGAGTGGGAGGTTGCAGTGAGCTCAGATCCTGCCATTGCACTACAGCCTGTGCAACAAGAGCAAAACTCCCTCTCAAAAGAAAAAAAAAAAAAAGAATAAAAGGAAAGAATAGAAACAAGAGATTAAATCCTAGAAGCAAATTTTACCTTTTTCAAAATCCTGATCAGGGTTGACCCTGCCTTGTCTTTTACACTCCATAAGTTTCTTGAGTAACTTTGCTTTTGACCTGCTCCCAGTTTTCCACATCTCTTTTTAGCATTGATAAAATGCAGCCAGCCAATAAAATTGAGAAACAACTAACGTAGAAGAAACAGAGAAGAAAGTGTATCTAAAATTAAGATCAATTGAAGAACAAGATCACTATAATCTGGAGCTAATTAAGAATGCACATTGATTTATCCTTGGGACAAATTATTCATTCTAATTTTTTACCAAGAACAGAAGACATTCTTTCCCTTTCATATCCCTCTTCCCTCAAAGGAAATAGGTGTACAGTTTTTTTGGCTTTATTTGTTGTGAAAAAATTCCAAACTAACAAGAATATTCTTAATACAAGTGGGCCACCCTGGTGTTATAAAATATCACAACACAACTTTATTATTTCTGCTGGAGCCTACAGTACAGTGCCTTCCCCCACCAGTGTGCACCCCTCTTTTCATTAGAAAGCTTAATGAATGCTTATGTTCATTAACAAAGGTAATCTTGGCTTAATTAGTGTCCAAATTTATATGTCCCCTCTTGTAGAGATAAGCCCTCAGAAATTAATAAAAATGTCTTCTAATTTATGCAAATCACCATAATCAGATTTATCATTAATTTTATGTGCATTAAGTTTCTATTTAGCAAATGAAGAGAGCTTGGCCTGGCCAGTACACACACAAATCCAAGCCAGACAAAGAAATCCTCACTCCTAATAAAAATGTGGGGGCAGCCGGTGGGAGAGCTGCACACAGGGACAAGACCTTTTATTAATTTGATAGAATATGAAGCTAACAAGACTGTTTTCAAGTTATTTTATTTCTTCTCCACTTAAATTGAATCTGAAAGATTCAGACACGTGGGAGCTATAAAAATGTCAGAGGATGAGCCAAATAGCAAAGCCAGCCTTAGTGGGGGCAAGTTCATTTTCACCGAACTGAGAAAATTAAAATAGGAGCACCTCCAAAGAACCTTGACACCTTTAAGGAAGTGTAAAAATCATAGTAACTGACATTTGATCATTTTGCCTTCATCCTTAATGGACTGTTAGATGATATCTTCTAAATCTTTACCAGTAAAGCAGCAGTCATTTTTTAAAAATGATTTGCTTTGGTAAATGTAATTAGGGGGTTTGGACTGGGAGCCCCTAACATCCGGTGCAATTTTAATTTCAGTAACACAGCAATGGCTCCCCAAAGAACTTGCCTCTTAGCAGTCACATCTGCTCACCTAATTGACAGTGCAGGAGGGAATTGTTGTAATTTGTTTTCTTTGGACTACATAAAAAATCTGTAAAACATTCACAACCGTATGGTATCAGGGCAGCAACTATATAAAACCACACCAGTACTTCTGGTGAGAATTTATAATTTCAAGTAACACATTGCCTTTTTCCATGGTACTTACAGCACACTAATATCTATAAATCTGAAACATGTTCCCTTCTGGTACTTGTCTAAGCAGGTCTAGGAAATTACATCTATGCTATAGGGGAGCCTTAACTTGAGTATGTTAGAATGGGCAGTAAGAGGAGAAAAATACATTTTGTTTGTTGAACCAGACAATGTGTATCAATCGTCATTCTATGCATTGTTTTCAAAGAATATCAAGTATCTAAGAATTATCAAGAAATAAAATGCTCTTATTTTCATTTTCTCTTCACAGTGAGTTTGTATTAACATGCAGCCTAATCTACCAAGTTTGAGAAATAATTAAATTTAGTTAAATAATGTTTACAATTATTTGAACATTTAAATGGTGACTTTTTGATCCTCTGTTAGCATCATATGTCATATATTTTTTTTTAACCCAAAGAAAAATAATTTAAATGGAGCTTGAGTCATGTAAAGCATATAGCTGGGAAACCTTATTTGTCTGAACTGTGATGAAGGAAGCCAAGGAAGTTATTTCAACCAAGTCTAATCAGTTTCCCCAGGGTTGTCCATTGAATAGTTCCCAGAGGTGTCATTCACTTACTAGCTCTAAGAATGGCACCCCTTTGAGTTATGCAGTACACAGACTGCAGTCCTATGTGGTGGCCCTGATTCCTTCTAGCCTACTACTGTCCGGATGCTGGCTTAACGAACCAATCCCTCAGTATCTACTCCACATTCTGCAAAGCAAAATTCTCATTCAGAGGCTACCTGCCATTATAAAGTCAAATTAGAACATTGTTCCATTTTGCTAGACATTGTATTATCTATTCCAGAACTCCCATTTATGAATAAGAATAATATCTGAGAGTAGTGGGGTCACCCATCAATATTTATTGAGAAACTACTATCTGCCAGAGTGCTGTAATGATAATAACAAGCACTCTGTTATTGTACTTAATCTTTACAATAAACCTAAACGTAAGTATTACCGCCATCTCCATGGGATGACTCAGTTAATAAATGAGAATATGAATTTAAATCCAGATCTATTTAATCCCAAGGCACATGCTCTTTTCCTTTCATAATTTTACTATGTGGCTATAATGAGAGTAGGCTCTGATGGATGGCTGTGGGAAATTTCCAAAAGCGTGCTGATCAATTGTCATAAAGATGACACTTCAATGTGAAAGAGAGTTATATTGTCTAGACTTCCCAGGGAAAACAGGAGTGGCAGTTAATATGAAGAAGCATATAGAACCTCTCCCAATGGAGATATTGCAAAGAGACTAGAGCGAGCTGAATGCAGACAAACTGGTGCCAAGTATTAGAGGAGTGATAGTGCTGTGCAAAGCTAAGGCAGACATGGATATGATGAGTCAGGGAGATGAGAAAATACAGATCAAAGGCACAAGCTATTAGATGAATCTACGAATAAGAAGAAGTGGACCAAGACTAAGGGAATCAATATCAGAGGCTCAGAGGCTCTAAAATTAACATTTAGTAAGTGCAGCAAGAACAGTGACTGGCTAAAAGAAAATGAAAGAAAATAGGATTTCAGGGGGCTGGTGGAGCATTTCTGAGGAAAGCCAGTGAATTGAATCAGAGCTTACAACCAGAAGTGGCCCCCAAAGAAAGATTCTGATTTCTTAAGAAGAGTTTGGGCCATAGATCAAGTGAGGGAAAGAGGGCAGTCTTTCCTGGAGGATGATGCTCTGTTCATCAAATCCCATTTCCTTTTCTCCTGGGCTCACAGCTAGAGTGCTTTCCCCAGTCTCCATGGCAGTTACAAGAAGCCTGTGTGGCTGAAGTTGGCCGGCGGAATGAGAGTGAGATGATAGGTACCACTTCATGGGTGAAATCGTTAAACTATACCCATGTCTTCTCCATGGTCTCCTTCCCCATCTGCTAACTGAATGAAGAGAGCACCAAATTCCTAGACTCAGAGAAAGTCACAAGTTGAAAGGAATCTAGGTCCCTAAATGAGCACACGGGAGCCTACCCAACAGAAAATCACATCGCACCATGATATGAGCAAGAAACAGACTTGTCTTATATCAAGCCACTGAGAATAAGATACACCTGGCAGTGTTACCCTAGCTGATCCAGGATCTACAGGAAGGAGGCATAGGCGGAGGCATACGTGGTGATGAAAGTGTCTCTAAGATCATTTAATGCTTTACAAGTTGGCCATGTTCCCGGAATGAATTGTCTCTGCTCCCTCAATCCACATTCCCTGAATGAAGTGTCTCCACTCTCTCAATCCTACTTTCCCTGTGCATCAGGCACTGATTTAAGCGCTGGGGTAAACAGTGACAAGATGGAAAAGTACCTGCCATTAGGAGGCTTCTATTCAAGATGTTCAGGAAGGACAGTTGGAGATGGACATTAATAAGTTTTTTAGTAATACATGAATTAATTAATTCATTCATAATTTTAGATAATGAAAAATGCTATGAAGAAATAAAACTGGGTGATTTGATAAAAGGTGACAGGAAGGCCTTTTCAGTTCTAATGGCCAGTAACTTTTGAGCTGAGAATGGAATGATGAAAAAGAAGCCAGCCACATAAAGATCAGTGTAAAGAGGAAGAGCAAAAGCCCAGGGTGAGAACAAGCTTAGTTTCCATGGACAGAAAGAAAGCTGAGCAGGAGCTGAGGCTGGAAAGGTGGATGCCAGGCAGATTCCGGAGGACCCCATGAGCCAAGCTGACGTGGTTGTAAATATCAGGTTGGTGCAAAATTAGCAGTTTTTGCCATTACTTTTAATGGAAAAACCACAATGACTAATGCAATAGGAAGCAATTAGAACTCAGCATAATGGAATTTAGTAAAACTGTATGTGATTATATATTAAATCTCTCACATCCTATAGGAAACTTCACTTGTACTTTGAACTGGATGAATGAATAAAGTATACCTGACTTAAAAAAAAATAGGCCGGGTGCAGTGGCTCACGCCTGTAATCCCAGCACTTTGGGAGGCGGAGACTGGCAGATCACGAGGTCAGGAGATGGAGACCATCCTAGCTAACACGGTGAAACCCCGTCTCTACCGAAAATACAAAAAAAAAATTAGCCGGCGTGGTGGTGGGCGCCTGTAGTCCCAGCTACTCGGGAGGCTGAGGCAGGAGAATGGCGTGAATCCGGGAGGCGGAGATTGCAGTGAGCCGAGATCGCGCCACTGCACTCCAGCATGGGCGACAGAGCCAGACTCCGTCTCAAAAAAAAAAAAAAAAAAAAAAAAAAAAAAAAAAATTAAAAAATAAATAAATAAAGATGGAAACCTTACAGAACCCTCCACATGCTTTAATCTTAAGTGGTGGCAGAAATTTTGAACCTGACATTTGCAGAGGATGACATGTGTGATATTGCACATAATAAGAAATGTAGGCCAGGCGCGGTGGCTCACGCCTATAATCCCAGCACTTTGGGAGGCCAAGGCAGGCAGATTGCTTGAGCTCAAGAGTTTGAGACCAGCTTGGGCATCGTGATGAGACCCTGCCTCCACCAAAAATACAAAAAATTAGCCAGGCATGGTGGCATGCACCGGTGGTCCCAGATACTCCAGAGGCTAAAATAAAAGGATTGCTTGAGTCTGGGAGGCAGAGGTTGCAGTGAGCGGAGATTGCACCACTACATTCCAGCTTGGATGACAGAGCACGAAGAAAGAGAAAGAGAAAGAAAGAAAGAAAAAGAGAAAGAGAGAGAGAGGGAGGGAAGGAGGAAGGGAGAGAGGGAGGAAGAGAGAGAGAGAAAAGAAAAGAAAAAAAGAAAAAGAGGAAGGAAGGAAGGAAGGAAGGAAAGAAAAGAAAAAAAGAAATGTATATTAGATCTTTGTCCAGGGTTCCTGGCACATAGCTTCTAAAACCCTTGGCATTTCCTGAATGATGGGGGCAAGAAGAGCATAATTTGCTATTCATAATAAGTGCCCTTCAACCACACCTGAGTTTATGTTAACAAGGTGACTCTTGGTGAGCCCCTAGATAGCTTCGGGATGGAAGCTGGTTGCCAAAGGAATCAATCATGTGACTGATGGATTGAACTATCAACTCTGCTCCCTCACCTCCAGGGGAGGAAAGAGGGGCTGGAGACGGAGTCAAACATTAATTGCTAATGATTTAATCAATCATGCCTATGTAATGCAACCTCCATAAGAACCCCTAAATGATGGGGTGCAGGGAGCTTCTGGGTTGGTGGAAGGTGGTGCACCAGAGAGGGCATAGAAGCTCTGCACCCCACTCCCATATCTTGCCCTATGCATGTCTTCCACTTGGGTGTTCCTGAGTTGCATCCTTTAATAATTGTAAGTAAACTGTTTTTCTGACTTCTATGAGCCACTGTTGTAGCAAATTATTGAACCTGAGAAGGGGGGTGTCATGGAGACCTTTGATTTATAGCCTGTCACTCAGAAGCATGGGAGACCCAGGACTTAAGATTGGCATCTGAAGTGGGGGCAGTCCTCTGGGACTGAGTCCTTAACCTGTGGGATCTGCATAATCCCAGGTAGCTAGGGTCAGAATTGAATGGAGTTGTAGGACACCTAGTTGGTGTCCAGAGAGTTGGAGGCCTGGTTGGTGGGAGGAAAAAAACTCCACACATCTAGTATCAGAAATATGTGAGTAAACACAGCCCAGAGTATGTTGACCCCATCATGGCCTTTAGAGACCTTTGTCATTATTGTCAATGGCTATGCTGTTTTTTGCATTATTTAAAAAATTTTTTTAAAAAGCCACTAGTCAAGCATTGGGAAGTATGTATGCCCTGGAGGGAAATTTGTTCCAGTATTTATCAAGTCTATCTTAGAATTTGTTTTGTATCATTATTCTTTCTCCTGGAGCATTATTTTTTTTTAGAAAAATTCAGAAGACTTGACATTTGTATGGATGAATGTGAAATACAATGGCAATATTTTAAGTTGCAAATAAAGAAATAAGATATTTGAGTCAAAAGGACAAATATGTTAGTGCTGTTCGCTCTTCTGACCAGTTTGATGATCCTGAATGGCAAGGTTATAAGCTTCCCATTGAAGGCTCTTTGGGTCATTTGTCTGCAGGATTCTTGCCTGCATGAGAAAAATTGGGATACAGAAATTTGTATGCTGACTTAGAATCGTGGATTACTAGTGCATCTGCCAAAATTAGCTATCAATTTATTCAGTTGGAAATCAAGCTTGAGGGTATTTTGTTCAAGGTTCTGTATTTGTTGTTTTTGTTTTTTATACTTGTAGACATAATGCTTGCATTAAAACTTGACTCAACAGCTCTCTTCTCCTGCCTAATTAAAACTATGGTGAATAATCAACTCTGCCTTTATAACCTAGTATTTGTTTAGCATCTATAAAGTTTCTGTCATTATGATTGACAGGAAAGATTTATCTGTCTCTAATTTGTGTGTGTGTCTGTGTGTGTGTATGAGTGTGTTTGTGTGAATGTGAGGTATGTAGAAGTATGTGTGTACTCTGTTAAGATATCTTGCTATCTGAATATCTTGAAAAATTACTAGTAACATTGGCTGCCTAATAAACTTCTTTTCCAGAGGCACCAAGCCACAGTGACATAAGACCAGCTGGCAGGAAGGGACAGCCTCCTTATGTGCTAATGACTGTCCCTGCAGCCTTGGTAGCTTCTGCCTCAAGAAGCAAATTCACCAGCACAGACCATCCACCTAACATGCCATACTGCAAGGCTGGAAACTTAGCTTGCTGGCACCAGAAGCTGGAGCTCCCATGTGGAGCAAAAGTGAGGCAAAAACAACCAGAGCTGGGTCTCAGAGTGTCCAGAGCACTGAGGGTGGCAGCTGGCATCTGCAGTGGTTTTCCAGATGCTAGAATTACACATTTGTACATGTGAACATTTATACAATGCAGTTTGTACATTTATGACTATGATTCTGCTGGCAGATCTATAGTGTATGGCCCAACACACAAGAGATATCAGAATTATCACAAGAATGTCTTTGTTACAAATTTTCCTAGGACTAACCAAATTCTGAGAGAAGTTCAAATCAACCCTTATCAAGAAAGGAGCACCTGGCCTGCTCTACACCAATTTTCCATAGTGTAAGATGGATCATTAATGCATTTTGGAGGGCTGATTCCCCCAGGAAACTCTAAAATGTATGCTTTGAAAGGAAGGATTATAAGAATACAAGATTCTTCAATGCATTCCCTGAATAAAGATCCTGCAATACGTTTTCCCTTCTGTCTGTTCCCAATAACACTGACATTTAGAAACTTTTTTCACATTTTTCCAGTGTTTGTCATCTTTATTTTGCATTCTTCAGAATTAAATGGCCTTAAAGAAGTCCACAACTGTTTAACTCAATCTCTACATCAAATTACCCTGTGAGTCAGAAAGAAGTGCAAACTCATTTGAAAAGACATCATTATGCTTCCAAGCACAATGCTTAATACAATTTCTATATCCTGCAAAAGTACATATGGTGTCTATTGCTGCCTTTAGAAATGTTAGTCATTTGATTAATAGAGAGGCCTTTGAGGGAATGAGTCTGGAAATCTTGAGTATTAATTCCTCCTATCCCAAAGTGAATTCTCTCTAATGATTTATTAACCACTGCAGTTAGCTCAAAATGAGTTCCTGCAGAAACTGGGTAAAATCATATGGGAAATCACTATTCTGTGTAAACCAGATAAATTATCCCTGGTTTATGTACATGCCCAAGTAAATCGCACCAAGAAAGCAGCAAAAACTAATAATAATAATGTAACTCATCATTCTTCCAAAATGTGATTTTGATTTTCATATTTTAATCTAAGCAACATAGTCAACAAGAAATCATTAGAAAATTACACTGAGTTTTCATGTGAGGACATCTAATAATTCATTTTATTTAGAGTATGTAGTTTCTCATGTAACTTTCTAAACATTTTCTTAATTATTCATAAATAAAATTTTACAGGATGAAAAATGCTTTTACCCAAACATTTCTATTTTTTCCAATTTTCTAATTAAGAAGATGAGATTTGATTCCATTGTTTACTAATTGTAAAGAATTGGGGTTTTTTCAGGAGGTTTTGTTTTGTTTTCTTAATTCTCTGGGTGAAAAAAAGGTTCGATACATGTTTCTTTACCTTGGGACATATGTAATATAGAAACATTTGAGATATATGTGATATATAAAATATAAATGTATGTTTATATATACAGATTTTTAAATACTTTATATTACTATTTTTATTATTTTATGAATTATTAAATGGAAATATTTAGTTAAGTTTGTTTTCCTCATATTTTATACTAAGTAAAACTCTACTATGTAAATGTATACCTCCCTCTTTGCAATTGATTTTGGAAAGTTCTATTTCTTTTTTAAAAAACAATTTTATTTAGCTATAATGGAGATCCAAAAACCACTTACTTCATGTATACAATTTGTTTAGTTTGAACACATACACACACCTGTAAAGTTATCACCAAAATGAAGGGGATCCATCATCTAAAGAATTAAAGATGGTGTCTGCATTTTTGTAAGGGAAGTTATTTTGTATGATTGTGTTCTTTTACTGAAAAAAAAATAAATGTTAACCCCGAACATGCCATTCATGTACTACGGAATTTCATATTGAAAAAATTGTTCTGGTGACATAGCTATTGCAAAGGAATGCTATAAGCAGGTTTCCTGCAGTTCAAATACCATCAAGATGTAATATAAGAAACAGCTATAAATTTTGCTTCTCTACAAATTCTTTTAATGAGTAAAATGCATTTCCTAGAGAAGAAGGGAAGCTTAGATTATTTCATGATATGAATGATAAGGTTCTGAGGTGACAATTCGATTTTAAGCACAACAAGGCCAGGTTCTGTTTATATTTTCTTAATTCCCTTCCCAAATTGTTAGATCCTCCTAAACATGGAATATTACAGATAAAGTTTTGTGGCACTAATTGACTGTGTAGCAATCCACTTAAGCTCCCTGGTAGTCAGTTTCTGGCTTGTGCTAAGATGAAGAACCATCTGCTCACCCAGCCTTCCAAATGTATTATCATTCATCAAACAAGATCATGAAAGTGAGTCTAGTTTGAAAAATCAATAATAAAATAAAATGGATTATTAAAAAATGAAGGTCAAGTTGGCCCACTTGGGCCTAAATAAATCTGGCCTGCAGCCTGTTTTGTATGGCCCACAAGCTATAAATGATCTTCACATTTTTTGTGTCATTAAAAAAAAAGACAGAGAAATATGCTATAGAAACTGTACGTGACTTGCCAAAAATACGTACTACCTGGCTTTTTACAGAAAAAGTTTACAACCCCTGATCTAGATACCACAATTAAAAGCAAAACCAAGGTAAATTTCAAAATAGCTTTCCTGTTTCTTCAATTTAAATTAAGGTGTTAAATAAATGCTTGTATGAATGGATATTTGAAATTTTATTTTTAATACTTTATTGGAGTATACTTACATGCAATAAATTGCACATAAAGTAAAAGATTGGATGAGTTTTCCCAGGAAGTTATTATCTCAATCAAGGTAGAAACATTTCTATCACCTCTGAAAGTTTTTTCATGCTCTTTGAAATTCATCTTTCCCTCCACCTTTGTCCCCAGACAACTACTGACCTGCTTTCTGCCATCATAGGTTAGTTTGAATTTATAGAATTTTATATAAATGAAGTTGTAGTCTGTGCACTTTTTGTCTGGCTTCTTTTACTCCGCATGATTTTCATATTCATCTATTTGTGGCATTTATTTGTAGTTTCTTTTTTTTTATTGCTGAGTAGCATTCCATTGTATGGATATACCAAGTCCATTTATGCATTCACTTTTTGATGGACAGTTTTCTTAAATAAATATGCAGAAGCAAAATTTCTTAGTAGTATGGTAACTATTGCTTAATTATGCAGAAACTGCCAAACTGTTTTCCCAAGTATTTGTACCACTACATTCCCTACAGCAATCCTCAAATGTTAACACTTGTCACTGTCATATTTTTAGCACCTCTCCATGTGTAATGACATCTTAGTGCTAATTTGCATTTTCCCGATGATTAGTGACAAAGACTCTCCTCTTGACTAACCTCTAGTTGAGCTCTTCTGAGTCCTCTTCTTGACAAGGCCTGAAGCTTGACCTATAAAAACTGCAGACTCTCAGCATGAATGACTTTGTCCAGTCCCTCACACTAAGAGACTTGAACAAACACTAGCATCGTTTCTAGCAGCTAAAGTTTGCATCCCTAGAATGACCTCAGCCTCCCTTGAAGTGCCTGCCTGAGAAAGCTCAATGCTGCCAGGAGAATTTAGTATTTGTTTTAGCCAAAACCTGGCAATAGGTAGACAGGTCCCTTGGAGCAGTAACTTTATTTTTTTTTTTAATTTTTCAAATTGACACATTTAAATTGTACGTATTTATGGAGTACAATTTGAAGTTTCAATACATATCTATGTTGTATAGCAGTTACTTTAGAAAGTTTGCAATTTTAAATCTTTTCTCTGAATTTTGAGATATAAATCTACCACCTAAAACAGTTTTTCTCAGGGAGCTGAGAGCCATCTGTTTGAAACTCTTGGTTTTGCTTCCAATTCCTGTGGGAAGATAAGGGTCTAACTTAGGTGGGCACCCTGTTCTAATTTACACCACTACCTACTGTCACAAAGATAGGAGAACTTTGTTTCTCCTCTGAACAAGAACCAGTTAACAAACTAAGATGGCCTGGTCATGTTAATTACCCTACTCTCCTCTTGCTTTTTGTAAATTTCCACTTCCCTGACTCTGCTCAAGCCCCCACCATTCCCCACTCCCTACTCCTTCGCTTTCCTTTAAAATGCCCACTTTCTGTACAAATCAACTTTTTATGCACTTATTGGTCATTCATATATCTTCTTTTGCAAAGTGCCTGTTCAGTTGCCTTCTTCTTATGGAGCTGTAAGATTCTTTATATATTCTGAATACAAGCTTGGTTTTGTTTGGTTTTGTTTTTTTGAGACAGGATCACTGTCACTCTGGCTGGAGTGCAGTGGTCCAATCACGGCTGACTGTAGCTCGATCTCCCGGGCTCAACTGATCCTCACACCTCAGCCTCCTGAGTAGACGGGACTACAGGAGTGTGCCAAAACACCCGGTTAGGGTTTTTGTTTGTTTTGTATTTTTTGTAGAGACAGGGTTTCACCATGTTGCCCAGGCTGGTCTGGAACTCCTGGGCTCAAGTGATCTGCCCACCTTGGCCTTCCAAAGTGCTGGGATTACAGGCATGAACTACCATGCCTGGTCACAAGTCCTTTTTTCTACACACGCACACCAGATGATTTCTGCTAGTCTGTGGCAAACCTTTCGTTTTCTTCATGGAGTCTTGATGAGCAAATGTTTTTAATTTTGATGAAGTTTAATGTATACATTTTTCTTTCATGGATTTCTATTAGGGTTCTCCAAAGAAATAGAACCAACTGGATGTGTGTTTTGCGGGGTGGGAATGGAGAGATAGAGAAAAAGAGAGAGGAATTTTAAAGAATTGGTTCACATCACTGCGGAGGCTTGATGAGTCTCAAATATCATGGGTGGGCTGGCAGGCTGGAGACTCAAGGTAGAGTTGCAATTCAAGTGCACCCCTGGCAGCAGAATTCTCTCTTGCTCAGGAAAGGTCAGTCTTTTGTTCTACTCAGTCCTTTAACTAATTGAATTGGGCCCACTCACATTATGGAGGGTAATTCAAATTTCATTAATTTAAATGTTAATCTTCTCCAAAAAACACCTTCACAGAAACACCCAGAATAATCTTTGACCAAATATCAGCACTGTGGCCCAGCCAAGAGGTCACATAAAATTAACTATCACAGGTTGGTACTTCATGTGTCCTATTTAATAAGTCTTTCCTTACCTCAACATCTTAAGATTTTCTCCTATGTTTTCTTCTGAAAGTTTTTTATATTTATCTTGTAAATTTAAGTCTATGATCTATTTCAAGATAATTTCAAGCTAATGTGTGGTGTGATAGAAGGGCTGAAATGTATTTTATTCCATATGAATAACCAGCTGCTTCAGCACCATTAAAAGATTACCCTCTGCCCCATTGAATTGCCTTGACACCCTTGTCAAAAGTGAATGAGATACTATGCAGCCATAAAAAGAAATGAGATCATGTCCTTTGCAGGGACATGGGTGGAGCTGGAAGCCATTATCCTCAGCAAACTAACACAGGAACAGAAAACCAAACACCTCATGTTCTCTCTTACAAGTGGGAGCTTAACAATAAGAACACATGGACACAGGGAGGGGAACAACACACACTGGGGCTTGTTGGGGGAGGGAGAGCATCAGGATAAATAGCTAATGTATGCTGGGCTTAAAACCTAGGTGGTGGGTTGATAGGTGCAGCAAGCCACCATGGTACAAGTTTACCTATGTAAACTTGTATCCCAGAACTTAAAATAAAATTTTTTTAAAAAATGAACGAGCTATAATGTGTGGCTCTTTTTCTGTGCTACTATTCCATTGGTCTACATTTTTATTTTTATGACAATAATCACTATCCTGCTTCCTGTAGCTTTATATTCTTAAATTCAGATCATATAAGTCGTCTACTTTGCTTTTTATTATTCCAAATTGTATTGGCTTTTCTAGACCCTCTGCATTTCTATATAAATTTGAGAATCAGCTTGATGCTATCAGAATTTGGAAGGGTACTCTCCTTCTTCCTACTCTCTTTACTCCTCCAGCAAGTTGGAGAATGCATATTCCCTGGCTATGTCAAAATATTAAAAGTGAACTTGACTAAAGCAGAAAAATGCTGCCTGGAGATGTGAAGCATTACCATTAGGCTCCAGGCTCCTAAACCTGAAGTCCACCCTAGAATATACTTCAGTACCCTGGTCATCTATAACTGTGTTACCCTTGCTGACTCATCAATAATCAGAAAACTGATTATAAAGATTGCAAGGCTCTTGTATCGGTTCGAACCCTGAGAGTGCACCAACGAACAACTCAAGGCCGTGTGGAGCAACACGCTATTTTTAGTGAGCACCTGGGTGCAGGCGGGCTGAGGCCTAAAATGGCGTCAGTAGCAAATGAGGACGGGGCAGGGGTTTTAGAGTCTTCTGTAAACAGGAAGTGTCTCAGTCTGATGTAACTGCTACGTGGTACCTGGATGGCCTCTTAGTCTTCAGGGGGTACGTTTCTTCCGGCCAGCTCTCTTCCTGCTTCTGCTATCTTGCTGACGCACTCTGCTGGTGCAAGTGGTCTTTTGCCTTGGGACTGGGCCTGAGAAGGGAGGAGTTACTCATTCCCTTAAGCTTTCAGGCCCGAGGGAGAATCTTTCAGAAATGATTTAGAATATTGAATTGCACATATTGATTTGATCTCTCTGCCCCTTTTTATTCCTAATTTTTTTTTCTGAGACATGGTCTTGCTCTGTCACCCAGGCTGGAGTGCAGTGGTGCAATCATGGCTCACTGCAGCCTCAATCCCCTGGGTTCAAGCAGTTTTTCCCATCTCAGCCTCTGGAGTAGCTGGGACTATAGTCGTGCATCACCACACCTGGCTAATCAAAATATATCATTCTCCTGCTAAAAATCCTTCAAAAACTATTCTTCCTTCTTTCCTTCCTGTCTTCCTTCTCTTCCTTCTACTATGTAATACTACCCTTCAAAACTAAACTATCTTTTTTTTTTTTTTTTTTTTTTTTGAAAAGTTCCTAACTTCCATTTCTTCTATTCCAAACAGGGAGAATTATCTCTTCTGCAGCATCTACTTCAGTGGATTGTTCACATTCATGTTCCTGGTTGTCTCCCCATTGAGTCTGTGAACTGTTTGATGACAAAATCTAGCTTTGAATAAACTCTGTAGCCCCAGTGCCTAGCACAGAGCCTGGCTACACCAATATACAATAAATGGTTACTGGGCTGAAATCAATAAACTTATGGCATTAATTGGCCAGACAAGACCATCTAGGAAAAGAATGCATACCAGGAGAGAAGTTCTCCAGACCCATAAATTAATTTTCTCTGCTGAGATTAAAGGATAAAATATTGAGTCACAAGAAGCAGAGTTCACTAGGAAAAATTTCTAGTTCAAGAGAATTGAAGAACGAAGACCAACTATGTGTCAAGTGGTTACAAGAATTGCACATCCCAGCTGAAAATCCCATAGAATGATGGTGCCTAGGAAACTAAAGGTCTGCTTTCTTAGTGTCTAGGAAAGTTAAGAAAATGAGAGTTCTAGTGAGAACACGTGGACACAGGGAGGGGAACAACACACACTGGGGTGTGTCGGGGGGTGGCAGGGAGGGAGAGCATCAGGACAAACAGCTAATGCATGTGGGGATTAATACCCAGGTGATGAGTTGATAAGTGCAGCAAACCACCATGGCACACGTTTACCTATGTAACAAACATGCACGTCCTGCACATGCATCCCAGAACTTAAAATAACATAAAATAAAATTTTAAAAAAAGAAAATGAGAGTTCTTAAATCCTAGTTTGGATTTAAGGATAGAAGTAGAGGGTGGCAGAGAAGCAAAGTAAAAGACTTGGAAGTAAAAAATAGGGTATCTTTTAAAAAGCTTAACATGTATACAAAGTCAGGTCAAAGTGAATTAATTGAATAACAGACAGGTGCACCTATAATCAGTCTAACTATGAAGTTTGTCTTCCCAGGATCTGCACACAATGAAGTAAAGTAGCCTTTGCTCTCTTGTCGACTGACCACACTCACATTTGGCTGAAGGGTGACAGACAAGGAGAGGCACAAGGGAAAAATGAGAGAGAGAGAAAGAGAAAGAGACCGACCTTAGGGACATAATATTTAATAGAGGCGCTATGGAGGTCTTGGATGGAGGCAACAAGAAGTTAATAGGGAAGAGGCACTTTCTGTCTGGTGGTATCCAGAGCCCATCTCATCACATAAACACCTCAAGTGCATTAAATACTGGCACTACATGAAAGCACTAGCTTCATTGCTTCAAATAATTTGAAAATAGGGAAAGTAAGTGACTTCTGGGAAGAAATCCAAATAGTATATTTCTAAGGCAATTCTATTTGTTCAAATCATAACCTTAGGTATTTCAGAAAAGGAAAATTAATCAAAAATAAATCTTGTAAAAAAATACTAGAAAAGATCTGAGCCACTCAAATGTGGATAATGTTTAAGGTTTTCCTCATTGAATGATGGGTGAATGTTCAGCACATCAGAGTCGTTCTGAGGAAAATGCATTCACTGTTAATAAAATAATAGAATTCTCTTCAGTACATGCCTATCGACTGTCAGCATGTACAGGTGAAATATCCCTCAACTGAAATACTTCAGATTGAGGTTTGGTACCAGTTCCCCTACAGATATAGAACAAACTACTGAAGAAGGACAAAAAATATAAACCCCTCCCCAACTCCCATTCTTAGCTAATCCCCCTGCAAAAGTCACTTTCACATTTATTATCTTAATAAATTGAGAATAAAATTTAAAATCTTAGAATGAAGATTCTTAATAAATAATAACAGAAAACCTTAGAAGGTAGTTATTAATATCTCCATTTTTTTTTCTTTGAGATGGAGTCTCGCTCTGTAGCCCAGGCTGGAGTGCAGTGGCGCAATCTCAGCTCACTGCAACCTCCGCCCCCTGGGTCCCAGTTCAAGCAATTCTCCTGCCTCAGCCTCCTATAAGTAGCTGGGATTACAGGCATGCACCACCATGCCCAGCTAATTTTTGTATTTTTAGTAGAGATGGGTTTTCACCATGTTGGCCAGGCTGGTCTTGAACTCCTGACCTCGTGATCCACCCACCTCGGCCTCCCAAAGTGCTGGGGTTACAGGTGTGAGCCACCGCACCCAGCCAATATCTCCATTTTACTGATTAGAAAATTAATTTCAGGTAAGTTCACTGATTTCTCACAGTCACACAGCTAATGGCAAAGACAGGACTTAGAACACAGGTCTAATTTCCAAGCCGTGTTTTATACAACATACTATCTTTCCTTTTTATTATTATTAAGTTCTAGGGTACATGTGCACAACGTGCAGGTTTGTTACATAGGTATACACGTGCCATGTTGGTTTGCTGCACCCATTAACTCGTCATTTACATTAGGTATTTCTCCTAATACTATCCCTCCCCTAGACCCCCACCCAATGACAGGCCCCGGTGTGTGATGTTCCCCTTCCTGTGTCCAAGTGTTCTCATTGTTCAATTTCCACCTATGAGTGAGAACATGCGATGTTTGGTTTTCTGTCCTTGTGATAGTTTGCTCAGAATGATGGTTTCCAGCTTCATTCATGTCCCTGCGAAGGACATGAACTCATCCTTCTTTATGGCTGCATAGTATTCCATGGTATATCTGTGCCACAATTTCTTAATCCAGTCTATCATTGATGGACATTTGGGTTGGTTCCAAGTTTTTGCTATTGTGAATAGTGCTGCAATAAACATACGTGTGTGTGTGTGTCTTTATAGCAGCATGATTTATAATCCTTTGGGTATATACCCAGTAATGGGATTACTGGGTCAAATGGTATTTCTAGTTCTAGATCCTTGAGGAATCGCCACACTGTCTTCCACAATGGTTGAACTAATTTACACTCCCACCAACAGTGTAAAAGCTTTCCTATTTCTCCACATCCTCTCAAGCATCTGTTGTTTCCTGACTTTTTAATGATCGCCATTCTAACTGGTGTGAGATGTATCTCATTGTGGTTTTGATTTGCATTTCTCTGATGGCCAGTGATGATGAGCATTTTGTCATGTGTCTGTTGGCTGCATAAATGTCTTCTTTTGAGAAATGTCTGTTCATATCCTTTGCTCACTTTTTGATGAGGTTGTTTGTTTTTTTCTTGTAAATTTAAGTTCTTTGTGGATTCTGGATATATCTTTCTTAGTGACTAACTTACTCATCCAATCAGCCATTCGTTAAAACTTGTTGAGCACCTACTATATGCCAGGCATTATGTCAGGAGCTAGAGATATAAAAATAAGATAAAATCCTTGCCTCTAGAGAGCTCACAATCTAAAAAGGAAGAAGACATGTAAATAAATATAAACTGTGTGTCACTAGCTATTACCCACATCTACAATGACAGGAACAAAGTGCCTTGCAAAGATATTTCCCGAGATCATCAAGTATTCTTAAGGCTCCTACAAGTTTCATAAATAAGTCTTACTAGCTCCTGCAAATTTGAGAAATAGTGGCCAATGGTCTGTAATGATAAAAAATATTGTTTGACTTGCCTGGTTTTAATCTGCCCAGTTATATATTTTTTAATTAGACTTCATTGCTAGCTAATTTCACCTAAAAATTTAGATTTTGAGATTTCTTAAAAATGTAGAAGATACTGGCCCCACATTCCTACATGGCAGTAATAGATTGGAACTGAGTGGTCATTGTCCTTTGTAGACAAGGTACATTGTATCCAGTTTATCAACAACCTACCTCTGTCTCTTGTTTCACTGACTTAACCTACTTTATTTATTTACTTTACCTGTTCTGGCCATCAGCCAAATGTTCCTCTATTCCAGCTCTGATCTTCTCAACTGGTTACCACTGCACTATGCCCTGTGTTAACTCTTAATGATTCTGCTAAGTCCCGCAGGAAAATCTTTATGCAAGAGAATCTTGGGAAAATTCTGTGGTCAAATAGAAAGACTCTTAATTTTTTGCCATGCTTTCTAGGAGAAATGAAAACAGTA
This sequence comes from Homo sapiens, assembly GCF_000001405.40. NCBI lineage: Eukaryota > Metazoa > Chordata > Mammalia > Primates > Hominidae > Homo > Homo sapiens. The sequence goes on along the minus strand of NC_000012.12, from coordinate 76,932,213 downwards.
CTCTTTTGGAAAAAGAAAACCAAAAACCTTTCACTCTTTAACTTATTTCCCATGGGATTCAGCTATAGGTCCATGGATCTGAGTGGAAGTGTAGCAGTCAGGGTCTAGTCGGAAAACAGAAGCCACATTAGTTATTTTAACAGAAAGAATTTAATATAGGGAATTGATTAAGCAGATATTGGAGGACAAAAAAGCAAAAGGGGGCACCAAGATAATTCAAAGAAAGTAACTGCAGAAAGAAGCCATTGTCCCTAGGGCGGGGGAACAAAGAAGAAAGGCTGGTATTTTTCCAACACAGGTGCCTGGAGTGGAGACCTGCAAAGCTGAGATTGGACCTTTGAAGTACCACCAAGCTGCCATTGGTACCTGAGGAGAACTGGTAACCAACTGCATACCTGGGTGAAGCACTATTATTTAGGCACAGAACAGAGAGCAACTAGAATGGAGCGAGTTTCTTCTCTCTCTTGTTGCCCTCTGTCTCCCTCTAGTACTTCCTATTAGCAGAGCAGAATCCTAGCCCCAGAATCACAAAGAAAGGTACAAAAGGCGTCAATCTGGAGTTGAGGGCTAAGAGCTTAATAATGGCACACTACATAAGGTGGTCCTCAAATTGCCCTGTTTGGTAACAACTAAGGCTTTCTTATAGAACATACTTGTTATTCTTGGCTTATCTTCCCTCAAGTTGAGTTTTCTCCCAGGATGATCCTCAGCCCCTTATTTCTGGAAGATTTGCCTGCCCCATAAGATTATCAGAGATAGCTGACTCCCAGAGTATAAAGAGCTGAATCTCAAGCTGGAGACCTTGCTACATACATCATTATAATAATGTGTGATCAATACGAATTAAGAGTAGACACAGCATGCAGCAGTGAAGAATTCAAAGAGGAGGTGACCTTTGATGAGCAACTTGAAGGATGGTTGGGAATTTACCAGGGGAAGAGGGATAAATAAAGCAGTACCTGCAATGTTGGAAGCCTGAGGAGAAAAGGGGTGCTTAGAGAATCATAAATTGTTGGGCCTGGTTAGAGCACAGGGTAAATATAGAGACTGGGCAGCAGATGGTACCTGAAACTCCAGCGACAACTTCTCCACCCTCCCATCCCAACAATCACCAAGTCCTGAAGATTCTGCCTATTCTGAAAAAATCTTAAATTTGTTTTCTCATGTCCATTCCCTCTGTTACTGCCTCATAAGCCCACATCAAACCTCACCTGGGCCAACAAGCCCCTATTATAGCACATACCAATTCCATCCCTCGTCCACACCACTGCCAAAGTGACCTGTCTAACACAATAGGAGCAAGTCTCCACTTTACCAAAAACCCTTTGCAAGCTTCCTATCCCCTATATATAAAGCCTAAACTCCCAAGCATGTCCTACAAGACCCCCAAAATCTAATCCCTACCCATCCTTTTCACCTGATCTCCTTCTACTCCTCCTTTCCACTTTAAACTCCAGGAAGGATGTATAATTCCATTGCTCCTGGCAGACATCAAGCGGTTGTACACTGCCCTGCCTTTGCATGTGCCTGAAATGCTCTCTCACCCTCTCCCCTGTCTGCCTCCTGGTCCTCTTGCAAAACCCCCCTTAAATGGCACCACCTCAAGGAATCTGTCCTGACACCACAGGTAGAATGAATCACCCCTCTGTGGAGCTATTTCTGTGGCTTCTAATGTTATATTTATCATGCATGTCATAATCATTAGCTTTAATTCTATCCTCACTGATAGACAATGAGCTCTTGGAGAAAATAATTCATATACATTTTCGTTCTTAGTATATTTTATGCTTGACAATGGTTGGCATTCAGTAAAGTCAGGATATTGTGAAATGACTTGTGTGTCAAGTTAAGAAGAGTTTGGCTTTTTTCCTATAGAGAAAAAGAAATTATTTTCTCTGTTTCTCTTTCTCTCTCTCTCTCTCTCCCCTCCTTTCCCACCCCCCTTGCTCTTTTATGCAAATAGAATGATAAACATAAAAAACTTTCCATAAGAAAAAAAAATTAGTCTAAAATGCAAATGTTTATTCATGTGGATTTTAGAGTGTTTCATAATTTATTCAGTACTTTCACATATTTTTAAAAATTCTAAATTAGCCGGGCACGGTGGCGGGCGCCTGTAGTCCCAGCTACTCGGGAGGCTGAGGCAGGAGAATGGCGTGAACCCGGGAAGCGGAGCTTGCAGTGAGCCGAGATTGCGCCACTGCAGTCCGCAGTCCCGCCTGGGCGACAGAGCGAGACTCAGTCTCAAAAAAAAAAAAAAAAAAAAAAAAAAAAAAAAAAAAAAATTCTTATTATGTGGCTCTTTTCTGAAATCCTTTAGCATCCCAGTCTTTAATTCTCTTCCGCATAGCTCTATCCAGCCTTCCCATTAGTTCCTACCACCTTTTCTCAAAAATCCCAGGTACTCCTTTTTTCTTCTTCCCAAGGAGTTTACAGGAACTTCTTGTTTTCATTGAAGCCCCAGCCCTCACTCACAGTTGTAGGGCCCTCCTTGATTGGCCCTAGTACAGAGTTCTTGCCTGTAGGGACAGGAATGCACACAGAACCCTTGCTAAACGATGCCCTCCTTCTGTGCTGCACCCTTTCAGGGCCTCAGCCCTCCAGAAGTCTGCAGCACCACCTTGAAAAGGAGCTGCTGGTAGGGAATGCAAAAGAACAGAAAATTTTTGAAAATGGAGGTAAACATTTTTAAAGATCTTTAAAGCATAACCTGCATTTAATGAGAAAGGGTCAGGGGCACATTCATGTTAATGGCCCAGATAAATCACCTTCTTCAAGAGGAGTTCATGTGTGCATTTGCGAGAGCCGCTAACATTTTCCAATCTTTTAGTGGAGTGCAAAAACACAAAACATAACAAAACAAAAAAAACATCCCGCAGGTAAAGAGTAGAGATCATGGGCTTTCACCTCTCTAGGGGCTTGTGTAAGCCAAGATAAGTCTAGGGTTTCCATTTTAGCCAGGCGTTCCTGTATTTCATATTTACATGCATTTGTGGGCTTCCTACTTCCAAAAAAGGCTCACAACAAAACATGCATTTAAATAGAGCTATTTTCTCTATAGCCAGCTGTCAGCTTAACTTGAGGCTTGTTCTCATATATGTCCATTGAATTTCATACTGGTATTTACTTTTTTAAAATATAATAATAATTACAAAGTAATTCATGGGTAAAGTAAAACAAATCAGAGTTGTATAAAAAAAAGTTAAAATCTGCTTCTTACCCATCCAACCCCTAAGGTAATTGGTATTAATGGTTTGATGTATATCCTTCAACACCTGTGGTTACAGGGAGTGAAACTGGTGTGGCCACTTTGGAAGGCAATTTGGTAATACCCATTAAATCTGAATTGTACAAATTATTTGATTCAGCAATTACATATCTTAGAATTTGTCTTACAGGTATACCCAAACACACAGGATAATCTTCATAGTATTGTTTATAGTAGCAACAGTTCAGAAACAGCCTAAAGCCTGATTAAAGGTGCATATCAAGTATAGGATACTATATAGCTCTAAAATATAATGAAGTAGATTGATAGGAAATGAAAAACCATGTCCAGAATGAATATGCATGTTTCTGTTAATACACACACATATATGTTCACTCTATACTACACACATACGTGGACTATGTGGATGTATACACACATGTGTGTGTATTTCTTCACTCTATACTTGATATATAGAGGCTATTTCTGGGACGACAACCAAGAAAATTCTCCATCGTAGCTGCCCTGGAGTCTGGGTGACTATTCATTTAGAATAAGAGGGAGACTTGCTTTATTATATACCTTTTAGTAGATTTGATTTTTTAACATGTGAATGTAGTCTTTTTTTCAATAAGAGAAAAATAGTGAGAAAAAATATGCCAATCTGATGGATGAAAATTATACTCATTGTTGGGCTTTAAATTTCCCTGGGTTGGCTGGGTGCGATGGCTCATGCCTGTAATCCTAGCACTTCGAGAAGCCAAGGGGGGGCGGATGACTTGAGGTCAGGAGTTCAAGACCAGCCTGGCCAACATGGCTAATACAAAAATTAGCCAGGCGTGGTGGTGGGCGCCTATAATCCCAAAAGAATTGCTTTAGTCCAGGAGGCAGAGGTAGCAGTGAGCTGAGATTGCGCCAGTGCACTCCAGCCTGGGCAACAGAGCAAGACTTCATCTCACAAAATAAATAAATAAATAAATAAATAAATGATAAATTTTCCTGGGTAAAAGTGAGACTGAACATGAGAAACTTTTTTCATGTGTATCACGGTCATTTACACTCCTTCGATGAGATGCCTATTAATATCATTTGCCCATGTTTTAAATTGAGTTAACTTCCTTATTAAGTTTTGTAGCTTTTCAAATATAGGAAATATTACCCCTTGTTTATAATATGTATTAAATATTTTTCCCAATTATTTTTTGTTTTATATTGCTGATAATTATTTTTGTCATTCAAAAATTTTTTGTTTGTTTTAGCAATACCACATCGGAGGCAGGGTAATGTAGGTACATTATTCTATCTCTTTCTTTATGGTTTCCCCTCTTGCTTAAGAAGTCCTTTTTCAACCAGAAGTTATTAAAATGCTACTTTTAACATTTAGATCTTTAATCCTCCAGAATTTATTTTTAAAGTATATGATTCAACCATTTTCTTTTAAATGTAGAACTAGTGCCATTTTGTGAAAGCCTTTCTCCCCAGGGAATTGAAATGCCAGCTGTCATATGTTAGTTTTCCATATGTGTCATTAATGCTCCTTTGCTCTCTCAGATTCATTATCTCCCCAGTCCTGTATCCCAGAGCCAGGCCCCCTTGTTTCCTGACTTAAAATTGGCTTTGGCCAACAGGAGGCGCCAGCAGATTGGAAAGACAAAGGGGTTTGACTATTTCTTCCTCCATGCCTTCCTTGCAGAGTCACCAAAGTGCTTCAACCCCCTTATTAGTTCCCATAACTCTGCCTAAATTCTGCAGATAGACACTCCTCTAAATTCTCTTCTAAGTCTCATATTTGCCTGTACCTTTTGTTTTTAGATTACTGTCCTTTCTTGTTCCTATTTTATAAAATGTGATAATGGCAGCTTGAATGTATTTTATCACATATTCAGTTTGCTATCTGGTTGTTCAAATACCTCAATATTCTGCCCTTTCAATATTTTCTTGGCGATTTTAACATGTTCATTTTTCCACTTGAAATAATTAATCCAGTCAGTTCTAAAAAGTTAAAATTATCATTAATATTGCATTAAATGTGTATATCAATTTGGTCATTTTTATGATACAGGTTTTCTCATTATTGAACATGGTACCACTCAGTATTTTCAAATGCTTATTACAAACCTCAACTCAATATCCACAAAACAGGTCAAACCAATTATTGCCCTTTCAAAGTTTGGCTTTATTTTTAAGTTCCCTCTCACTTAATGGCATTCACAATTACCCATGCTCAAAACCTAATGTCATTTTCATTTACTCTGTCATGCCTCACATCCAAATGGTTGCCAAGTCCTGTGATTATTAAGTGAAAAATATCTGTCAAATTATTTCCTCACCCTCTCAGAACTACAGACCCAAGTTCTCATCTCTTCAATGAATCGTCACTTACATTCCTTAATTAGCTCCAATCTCCAGCCCTCCTTAAATCTATTTTCACACTGCTTCCCAAATTATAATTTTAAAATACAGATATGAAAATGGCATTCCTCTGCTGAAACCTTCAATAATTTTAATGTAATAAAGTCAAAACATTTTTCATATTCCTGCTCCATCTACCTTTCTGGTCCCTTTTTCTTCCATTTACCCCGCAATCCACCAAAATACACACACACACACACACACACACACACACACACTCACTCCCCCATGCTCTAACCACATGGGCTCACTTGTAGTTTCCCAGACATGCTATTTCATTTCTGTCCTTGAAAATGCTCTAGTTCTATGCTGTCCAGTATGGTGGCCACCAGGCACATGTGGCTACTGAGTGCTTGAAACATGGCTGGTGCAAACTGAGATGTGATGTACGTGTGAAATGAACACCGGATTTTCAGTGGTTGTACCAAAAGTTTATTGTCAAATATCTCATTAATGTTTTTGAAAAATTATCACTTGTTGAAATTATAATAGAGTGGATATGTTGAGTTAAAATATATTATTAATTTAATTAATGTCATTAATTAATTAGTCTTTTTTTTACTATTTTAATGTGGCTACTAGAAAATATGAAATTCCTGTGTGTCTCACATTATATTTCTATTGGACAACACTGCTGTAGTCTGTTTTTGTCCATCTGGTGGAATCTAATTTGTGCTTAAACCCTGCTTCAGATGCCACCTCTTCTGTGAAGCCTTCACAGTTCCCTCATTCTAGGTAAAATTAATCATTTCTGCATGTGTCCCCAGAGCACTTTGCATGTACCTCTGTCATGGCACTTACCTTATTATAATATCATTATTTGTTTATATATCTGTCTTTAGCAATTTTGTATCTTTGTGTCCTTTGTTTCCTTAGTCTTCAAGCAGACCTAGTGCTCAATTTGTGGTGATTAACTGGAAGGCAGAAATAGTTCTACCAAAAACAGACTAAGAATAATCACTAAAAATAATCACAAATTTTACCCCTAAGCTTATTGTAAACAAGACAGGAAAGGAAAATGTCACTTTATACAACTCTAATAAGAGAAAGCTTTCAGTCTGTCAGGAGGCCAAACTTTCCCTAGCACTAACTCCAGGAGAGATTTATTGCATGAAACCTCATATGAGACACTGAACCACATAGTACGTCAGGTCTTTAATCAGGGGTCTACAGATAATACAGAAATATTCCTTATTTGGCCATTTTTTATATCAACCAACACTATAAGCAGACAATATAATATTACAGTACAGCTCAAAGCAAGCATTTTATAGACTAGATTAAGGCAGTTCAAACAGAGCTCTCTGGTGATCCAACTTGACAGAAAGAAAGAATCCAGAGAATATAGTTGTTGCTGTTGTTGTCTTTTATTCAGTCTGACAATCCTTGTCTTTTAGCTGGAATATTTATTCTATTTATATTATTAAAATGATTGATATTGCTGTCAGATCTCTCATCATACTATTTGTTTCCTATTTGTCCTGTTTGTTCTTTGTCCCTTTATTCCTCAATTCACTTCTTCTTTTGGATTAATCATCTATTTTATTATCCCACTTTTCTCCTCTATTAGCTTTTTAGTTAGGTATTCTATTATCTTTCTTTTTTAATCATCCTATTAATAAAATTTAAAAATTGTTTTAAGATACATGTTGTTCACAAAGGAAAATAAACGTAAGGACAGATGAATTCAGAGAAAAGGGATTGGAAAAGATATAATAAGTACATACTAACCAGAAAAAAACTGGTGCAGTTATATTAATGTCATATGAATATGATTTTAAGATAAAAATATTATATAATGACAAAGAAATAATTTACCTAAAGATATAGCAATCTTGAGCATATAGTTACCTAACTATATGGCTAAAATATATGTTCAAATATTGACAATATTATAAGAAAATTACAAATTCATAATTATAATGTATGATTTTAACATCCTTCTCACTAGTTTATAAAGCAAACACAAAGTAGTAAGAATATTAAGAATTAAACAAAATAATAATGAAGCTTGGGCTAATGGAAATATGTATACATAAATCCTGAGCATAACAAATTTTCAAACATATAAAACCTGACCTTATACTGAGTCATAAAGCAAATCTCAGAACTACCAAAAAATCAGCATAATACTTAACCCATATTGCCTACTCACAATTCAGTAAAAATAGAATATATTAGTAAAAAGATAACTTCCTCAAATACCTACATTCAGAAATTTTAAAATATAATTATAAGGAGTTTATGGATCAAGGAATAAATCAAAATGGAATTGGAAAATATTTTAAAATTGAACATAAAAATATTAAACTATGGTAAAACCTAAGGGATGCAACAAAAATAGTAGTTAGAAAGATGTCTACACTCTGAAATGCATAGATTAGAAAAGACAAGTGACTGGAAATTAATGCTTTCAACACAGGAAGTAAAAAAAAAATACAAACACAAAAGAGTAGAGCCAAGGAAAGTACAAGAAAGAAAATAATAAAGATAAGCATAGAAGTAATTGAAACAGAAAACAAATAAACATTAGAGGATCACAAGAACCAAAAGCAGGTAATTTTTGTGAGGCTAATAAGATAGAAACAAACAAAAAATCTTGGCAAGTTTGATCAGGAGACCAAAAAAAAAAAAAAAGAAAAAGAAAAAACAGCACAAATATGTTATATTAGGAATTTTTAAAAAGGATCCATAGACTTTTTCTTTTAATCATATGCATTAGTTTTAACTCTTTTGGTCATAAAGGATAAAAAACCCAGCATGGGCCGGGTGCGGTGGCTCACGCCTGTAATCCCAGCACTTTGGGAGGCCAAGGCGGGAGGATCACGAGGTCAGGAGATGGAGACCACCCTGGCTAACATGGTGAAACCCCGTCTCTACTAAAGATACAAAAAATTAGCTGGGCGTGGTGGCGGGCGCATGTAGTCCCAGCTACTTGGGAGGCCGAGGCAGGAGAATGGCTTGAACCCGGGAACCGGAGGTTGCAATGAGCCGAGATCGCACCACTGCCCTCCCGTGTGGGCAACAGAGACTCCATATCAAAAAATAAAATAAAATAAAATCAGCATAAACCGGCTTAAATAAATATTGAACTTATTACAGAAGAGTGCAGAGATAGGTTTGGCTTGAGGTGTACACTAATGGAGAGTTTAAGTTCGACCTTATTTCTCTCAGTCTCCCAAGTCTACTCTCCTTCGTGTTAGTTCCATTATTATCAAACACACTGTCCCTTTGAAAGGCAACACAGCTAAAGCCAATATCTTCATAACTACAATCTGGAGCAAAAGGGAAAGGATTGCCTTCACAGTGTCTCAATAGATGTACCATTGCATGTCGTTGGCTCTGATGGGCTCATGAGACTATCTCTAATCCAGTCATTGTGGGCCAGGGAATGTGATGTTCAGATTAGCTGAGTTTGAATCACTTCTCTGCTGAAGCAGGGAATGGAGTTAACACCTTTGGTAGCACATTAACCAAAATCACAGTGCAGTTAGAGAAGAACAGTGAATGACTGCTCTAGGGCACAAACAACAGATGTGCATCTCAACACGACTTCAGTCAAATGTTTTATTTTAAACAGAGTTCCAGCCCTATGAGCTCACCAAGATGAATCAATTGCCAAATGTCCCCCTGCATAACTAAATTTGATCTGTTGCATGAAATGATTCAATACTATCTACTTTGCCTAAATTCAACAGGCCATTTGCCAGAAGGTACTATTTGGGTTTGGGCAAATTTGATACTGATTTGTTGTTTTTAACAGCAATTTGCCAGCAGATTCAAGAATTTCCTAAAGTCAATTCCTACATCACTTTGCTATTTTCAGGTAGGACTTTAATAAACAGAATCTTTTGACTTAAAAACAGCACAGTACTCTGCATTAAGTGTGTTTGTTGTTCATTTATTCAAGAAATACTCATTGAGAGTATGTTCCAGGCATTTCATTTATGGTTGGGGAGCTAAAGCAAACAACAAAGATCCCGACTGCTGCCCTCATGGAGTTGACAGTAGTGAGCCTAAGAGTAGAATAGATTTTCAACTGTTCAAGTGCATGAGTTACTTCTATGCCCTTTTTAAAGCATTTCGGGCTGCAGATTTCACACAGGTCATTAATCTGGCCAAGCGAGGAGAACATTTTGTTCCTGTGGGAAAGTTCTCTGGTCACTGGGGAACATGTCACTAGTGTTTAGACAGGACTTTTGATGGAAGAACAAGTGGAACTGGAATAATTTGTCAAGCCTGCAGTCTGGACCTCATCCTCCTGTCAACTGCATTTTGGTGGACTTTTAGGGGTAGGTGGTTTGGAGGAAGGGAGCAGAGTTTAAACGAAAGAAGAAAAAGCCAGAAGCATAAAAAAAGAAACGGGAGGGTGGGTGGAGGAATAAATGAAAAAAAGAGTGGGTGATACAGGTTAAATTGTGCCTCCTGGGACACGAATAAATATTTGTCTGTTGCTTGTTGTCAGCATCTTTCCCAAGACTCTAAATGAGTCTTGGGAAAGATGCCTCCTTTGAATGAGTCAGTGAGTATTTCAAATGATCTTCAAAACTTTTGAACAAAAACACTATTGACTAAAGACCCAGAAAACTAATTTTATGCCATCCTGACTTAATTATGGCAAAGAATAATTGACTCCATATAAAATCTCATGTTATATTCATGTCATACCTCTCAACTAAAACAATTCAGTTTAGATTTCTCTTACATACTTGGCTAACAAGAAAATATTTGATTGAAAAACAAAGGAAAGAAAATCAAAATGCAAATTCAAGTGAGTGGAAACTGCATTTCAAACAAGGAGAATAATTATATGTACAGCATCATAAGCTGGTCTTCAAAGAATGTAGACAATGATTTATGTAAAGTATTTCTACAGAAAACAAAATGTCTCTTTAGAATAAAGACAATAGCATATGTAATTTACATTTGTGGCTGAATAAAAATAAATAAATGTTTCAAAATGTATTGTTTAATCAAGAAATCAAAGATGGTCATACCAATGCCAAGAGTAAAATTTGAGCATCTTACCAAATAAAACATTTTGAAGGATCTGTTTGTAATTTTTCTGAAAACCAAGAGAAGGAAATCAGAAAGTTAGCTGAGCTTGTGGTACCCTGTTTAGATGGCTTTCCAAATGCAAGACTGTTGCATTTAGATTGTAAAGCAGACCATGCCAAGCTTTTGAAAAAGAAAAAAAATTTGTTAATGTTGCACAAAAGCCTTCAAGGTCGTGCTCCTTTTGGCCAGCTTCTCAACCTCATCTCCTTCAATTCCACCCTCAACCACTGCCTCCAGCCGTGGCTGGCATCCTGCTGCTTCTAGAGCACAGTCAGGCATGCTATACCTCAAGGCTTTTGCAGCTGTCCTTGCCTTTGATTAGAACCTTCTTCTCTCAGGCTACATTACATGGCTTCCACCATCCAAAGTCTTTGCTCAGCAAGGCCATTCCCAACACCCTATTTAACATCAAAAACTCCCTCCTCTGCTTTATTTTTCTCCAAACACTTATCACGTGAGCACCATAAAAGCAAAGATTTTTGTCTTTTGTCTCCGATTTACTGTGCCCAGCAGAGTACATGCTCAATGAATATTCGTTAAATGAGTTAATGAATAAAAGCTGATATCTGAAAATGGGGCTACAGGCATGGTTAGTGGCCTAGTTAATCATCTCATGAGCAAAAGTAGTCCCATCCAAAATCACATCTCCAAGCATTGTACCAACTATTAGGATCCGGGTTCTCCTGAAAGCAGAGCCTGAGACAAAGGCAGGCATGCAGGTAGTTTATTTGCAAACTGACCCCAGGCATCAGGAATGAGGTAGGAGTGAAAGACAAAAAGCAGTGAAATAAACAAATGTTACTGAAAGGGACAAGGGAGGAAGGCAGTAACTGTTAAAGGGGGCACAGTGTTAGTAGGTGACATGGTTTGGGTATTTTGTCTCCTCCAAATCATGTGTTGAAATGTGACCGCCAGTGTTGGAGGTGGGCCTAGTAGGAGGTGTTTTGGTCATGGGGATGGATCACTTGCGAATGACTTGGTGCTTTCCTTGTGGTAATGAGTGAGTTCTCACTCTATGAGTTCATGTGAGATCTGACTGTTTAAAAGAGCCTGGCACTTCCTTCCTCTCTTTCTTGCTCTGTCTCTGGCCATGTCACACGCTGGCTCCCCTTCATCTTCTGCTGTTATGGTAAGTATCCTGGGGCCCCCACCAGAAGCAGATGCCATCACCATGCTTCCTGTGCAGCCTGGAGAACCGTGAGCTAAAATAAACTTCTTTTCCTTACAAATTATTCAGCCTCGGGTACTCCTTTAATAGCAATGCAAATGGACTAACAGTAGGTAAGCAAGGGTAGGTAGTATGCAAGAGTGAGGGCAATAAGCCCTGTTGGAGCAAGTCTGGAGAAAAGAATGGGTGAGGTTGATATTGGACAGTGTCATAAAGCTAGGCAGAACAATGGAGACTGACAAGTTCTAACTGTCTTGCAGTAATCTCTGATTTCAGGGTGGAGTAATTGCTCAGAAAGGCATAATGATCAGAACTGGCTTCAAGGGCTTGTAGTCTGCATTTGCGCAAGGCCTGCACTTGGCTTAATGCTCTGTCCTGGTGTCTTAAAACTCTTACTATTTTATCTTTGAACTTGTGTTCTGTGGTGAAGGCTGAGGGGACAGTGACACATGCGCATAACTAGAGGCTAGATGCTGGACCACTTTGCATGCAACCTGTTGTGGTCCAGCAGCCCATCCACAAAGGGCTCACCACCACCAGCCCGGCGGGCAGCAGGCATGCACGGCAGTCCCTCTGGGAAGTCCAGGGGGCTTGTGGGGACAACCGAGCTGGGACCTGGCCCAAGATTGACAATAGCAACAGTGACAGCAGCAGCAGAAGTAGTGGAGCAGGAGAAATGGCAGCAGATACAGGAGAGAGAATGGGCTCTGTATAAATGCAGCACCTGCAGAGGAAAGCCAGCTTGCCCTGTGTCTCCAGAGCCTGTCCTTGCCACATCTGCACAAATATTAACTCTCCCTCTACCTAGAGCGCTGGGACTATAATTGCGGGCACTCAGGCAGTAAATTTCGACAGTAAATTATTACAAAATAAAAGTCTGTACACATGGACATGGAACTGGAGCATGTCAGGGATTAGAATTATTGAAAGAGTTTAGAATCTCTGCTTTTGAAAACTGCTGCAATATTGCAAAGTAAATATCTACAGGCTTAAAAAGGGAAATTACACTCAAAAATTGTCACATTCAGTGAGAGAGACTTCTATTTTCATATGAAGCTTTGGCTGAAACAATTATTAACAAGGGAAACAGTTTTTAAATTAATTTTGTTCTTGTAATTAAAGATACAGCAATAGAATTCATAAAAGGGCATTTTCAATTATATACATAACATAAAGCCTCTATCTAGTTTCTTGTATTGGTCTCTGCAAGTTACAGAAAATACCAGAGGAAAAAAATAAATGCCATTGTATACATTTACATTAAAAATTAAATTCAAACACACAATTTATGAAGAGTTAAATTATTTTTAGAAAAATTGTTCCCCAAGAATTATCAGCCCTGGATATACTAAAATATATGTGTCACAACAATTTATCAGAAATTTATGCCAATGTTATCACAGTCAAAAAATAGTCTTAATAACTCCATAACAGTAGCATCAATAGAATCTTATCAAAATTACAAATTATAAAAAATTATTTGCCATCTTACATTTGCCAAGAGTGACCAGAATTGCTTTTAATTAGATTGATGGAAAAGTACAAATTTTGATGATCTAATAAATGAATTTGCAGAAAAGCAAGCCAGAAAAGTCTTATAATCAATTAAGATTTTACAATAATAAAGTAGTACTATTAATTTTATTATATAAAATTACAACACCAGGCCGGGCGTGGTGGCTCACGCCTGTAATCCCAGCACTTTAGGAGGCCGAGGCAGGTGGATCACAAGGTCAGGAGATCGAGACCATCCTAGCTAACATGGTGAAACCCCGTCTCCACTAAAAATACAAAAAATTAGCTGGGCACGGTGGCGGGCGCCTGTAGTCCCAGCTACTCAGGAGGCTGAGGCAGGAGAATGGCCTGAACCCGGGAGGTGGAGCTTGCAGTGAGCTGAGATAGCGCCACTGCACTCCAGCCTGGGCGAAAGAGCAAGACTCCATCTCAAAAAAAAAAAAAAAAAAAAATTACAACACCAAAAATATTCTGCTTTTTGTAATTGGTAAGTTTATGTTGTTACTCATGTGTCACTATTACTCCTTTAATGTTCTATAAATGGTAAAATATCTTTAAAGAAGAAAGCTTTATAGTTTAGTACCTTTAATGGTACTTTTATTCTCTTTTTTGAACAAAGGGCCCCACGTATTTTTTATACACTGCACCCCACAAATTATACATCTGGCCCTGAAAACAGTTATTTGAAATGTCATGCCATGGTTTGAATGTGTCATGTTTTGGACACTTAATCCCCAGTGCAAGTGTTGAGAGATGAGATCTTTAGGAATGATTAGGTGATGAGGACAGAGCAATGGAGGCAGACATTAATGACATTAATGAACTAATGTCATGGAAGTGGGTTTGTTATAGAGAGATTGGGTTTGTTATAAAAACAAGTTTGGTCCCTGTTGCTCATTCTCTGGTACATGCTCTTTTGCCCATCCCCTTTCCACTATGGGATGACCCAGTAAGAAGGTCCTCACCAGATGCTGACCCTCTATCTTGGATGTCCCAACCTCCAAAACCATGAGCCAAATAATTTGTTTTTCTTTATAAATGACTCAGCCTTAGCTGGGCTCACACTTGGAATCCCAGCACTTTGGGATGCTGAGGGAGGAGGATCTCTTCAGGTCAGGGGTTCAAGACCAGCCTAGTCAACAGAGCAAGACCTGGTCTTTGTAAAAAAAGAAATTTAAAATTAAAAATAAATAAATAACCCAGTCTCTGATATTCTGTTGTAGTAGCACAAAATGGACTAAGGCAGTTCATTTGAATCTGGACATCAGTTCGAAACAAAAGGACATCCTTTTAATAGGGAGAAAAATTAAAAGTGTGAGACGTAAAAAGAAACAAGCACTGGGAGGCTGAGGCGGGCGGATCACGAGGTCAGGAGATCGAGACCATGCTGGCTAACATGGTGAAACCCCGTCTGTACTAAAACTACAAAAAAATTAGCTGGGCGTGGTGGCAGGTGCCTGTAGTCCCAGCTACTCAGAAGGCTGAGGCAGGAGAATGGCGTGAACCCAGGAGGCAGAGCTTGCAGTGATCGCGCCAGTGCACTCCAGCCTGGGCAACAGGGCGAGACAATGTCTCAAAAAAAAAAAAAAGAAAAGAAAAAGAAAACAGCACCTGGCAATGGTCCTTTCTGATGGTCTTTACTTCAGGAAAGGAATGACTTAATTAATAAGAAAGAGGGTGGGGAAAACTGTCCCTTTAATATAGATCTTGCAAAGCCAAAATCAACAAACTTTGAGGAAAAAATAAAATAGGTAGCTGAGTTGTACATGGAAAAATATGTCTGTCCCTATCCATACATACCTAGTTATACTGGCAAAACTTGGGTTGAATACATGAAGAATTTTAAAAATCAGACTAAATAGCATACTAGAGAGTTAAATAAAATAAAAACCAAGTGGAGGAATATGTATTACAGATAATGAGGACTCTGGCTAGTGAGCAGCCAATGTTTTAAATCAAAAAGAGCTTGCAAGTATAGGATGAATAAGTCTAGAGATTGAATGTACAACATGAGTACTATAGATAATAATATTGTATCATGCTCAGGATAATTGCTAAGAGAGTAGTTTTAGGTTCTCTTACCCCACACACAAAAAAGCAACCACGTGAAGTGATGGGTATGTTAATTTGCTTGACTACAGTTACCATTTCACTATATTTCAAAACATCACGTTGTATACCTTAAATATATATATGAACAAAAGGAGCACATAAAATCTAAGATTGAGGGTTTTTTTTATGTGGACAAAGATAGAAAGGAGCTGGTAAGTGTGGCTTGGCACAGCAGGAGAGGATACAAACTGTTATTTTTCTCAAATACTGAAACATTAGCTGGTTGGCCACAATCATTGCATGTAGAAAGGCTGGTCAAAAGGCAAACTGGGAGTTAGTTAGGGTTCTTGTTCCACCACTAGTGTCCACATGACACTAGGCAGATTTAGCCTTGCTTTTTCCTAATCTGAAAACTGAAGGAATTTACATTATCTTCCCACTCATAGGGCTTGGTAGAGATAACATATGTGAAAATTCTCTGAAAAACTAAGTAGTAGTCAGAGCCTTAAATTACACATTCCAGCACTTAGAAGAGCTGTTTTATGTCAAAAAAAAAAAAATGGTTTTCCTGTGATTTAAGAAAGACTGTAATTTTAGTGGAGTGTTCATCAGTAGCAAGTTCTATCTCCTTAAATATTCTTTAAAAACCATCTATCAAATGATGAATAGCAAAGACATCAATAATTACTGAGTTGTCCTCAAATCTCTCCTAAACTGATCATAATCGTGATAAACAGCTAACAACACTGAAAGAGCTGACCAGTGAAAAACAGCGGTTGTGAGCAGAATCTGGATTACAGTCCAAAATAAATACCGAACCATTTAAAAATAGCTGCATGATTTCGTAAACACTGAAACACAAACACATAAAACTCTTGAAGTTATTTGAACAAATGATGATAAACATGATAAAAATATCCCAAATTTTAAAACCAGACGTGAGCTTTCTCCAAGTTCTCTCCAAGCCTTCAGCAAAGTGTCCTTCTAGAGAGTCTATAGAATTGATATGGGACTATAGAAATAATCTACCCAATTTCATGCTACAGTTGTGTAACCTTGTATACAGTTCCACATCTTCAGAGAACCAGTTTAATCATTTGTAAATGGCACAATAATTTCTACCCTGCCTATTTTATGAGGCTTTAGAGTAACAAAACCAGCAAATGCCTTGAAAACTATGAGAATTTCTGCACAGTGAGACATTTCTACCAGTTTTCACTATGTTCCTAGGCTTTGCAGCTTGATGTGGAAAGAGCCAGGGATGGTAAAGAGGAGAGAATTTGAAGAATTCTTTATCTAAGGCCACAGTCAGTAAAAAGAGGACAGAATCCCTTTAGTGGGCTTTGCTAGAAATAAAGCAAAAATGAAACGAAAGTAGTATGTTGGTGATCTCTAAAGCAGCTAACTTCTGTTTTATAGAAATCTGGGTTTGTCTAGCCAAATATTAAGAAGTATTACTTTGCATAAACAAAACAGATTTATAGCAAATACATCTAAATTTACTTATTCAAATAAAATGTTGCTTCCCTCAAGATAACCACATCTTCAAAAAAGACACATTTATTCCAACTACTATGCTTGCCTCTCTCACACCCCCAGTTCAAAATATTTTTAGATTTGCTTCACACTTGGTTTGTAAACCAAAAAGATGTTATCCAGAAATGACCCCCAAACATATTTGGTTTCTGACAAAATTTAAATTCATCTTTAAAAACATTTTGCTAGGATTGGAAATTCCTTCAAAAGAAACTATCATAGAGTACTTAATCACAGGCAATCACAAAAGAGAATTTTTAAGCTGTTTTAGTAATAGCATCTTCAATGTAATACTGGCATAACTTCCCAAAGGAACTTCCTCCAAGAGACTATCTGACCAAGTTCTGATTTTGTTCTATTGGTTTTTGTTTTTTGTTGTTGTTGAGACAGAGTCTCACTTCATCATTCAGGCTGGAGTGCAGTGGCTTGATCTCAGCTCATTGCAATCTCCACCTCCTGGGTTCAAGTGATTCTCATGCTTCAGCCTCATGAGTAGCTGGAATTGCAGGTGCACCACCACACCTGACTAATTTTTGTGTTTTTTTTTTTAGTAGAGACAGGGTTTCACTATTGTTGGCCAGGCTGGCCTTGAACTCCTGACCTCAAGTGATCTGCCTGCCTTGGCCTCACAAAGTGCTGGGATTACAGGTATGAACCACTGCCCCGGCCCTGATTTTGTTCTGTTGTTGATCAGTCATGTTATATTGCCTCATGCATTTGTGTTTATATGCTCAAGTGTGCATATTTATACCTGTGTGTACGTACATGTCAATCCTGGCATGCTGCTGCTTTACCTGGAATGGCTGATGAAAATTTTACTGTCTCTGCCCAATGCTTTATCAGAGTAAAAAGGATAAGTGAGGTATCCCAGGAAACTAGGAAATATTTGCCTATCCTACTGTAGCAATTACTTTTTATTTCACCATCTTACTTTTGGTTTCATTATATTATTGATTACTTATATTATGTCATTTCTTTGTTCTCTTTTTCCCTAGTGGACTCTAAGCCCCATATGAGTAGGGCCTTGTGGGTCCTGCTCAACTCCATAGCCCAAGGCCTAGAACATAATAAATGCTTGATAAATATATTTGGAAGGAAAGAAGGGATGGAGGGAGAGAGGAGAGAAAGCAGGGAGGGAGGAAGAAATGAAGGGGAAAAGGAAAATATCCCATGTCTGGGCTGAGATTTAATTCCTTTCCCTTTAAAAGAAGTCAGCTGGTGGTTCAGTCTACACTGAATTAAAAACAGGTGAGAGAGTCAAGGATCATTTAGATGCTCTTTCCCACCCAACCCCCCTGAACGGTTTTCACTCACAACACTTCGACACCAAATGTGTGCGGGATTTTTCCCATACCAGCAAATTCTCCAACTCTCCAGACATCAACTGGGTGTTCTAGGATACAATTCAATTCTGACACTAACTACCCAGCATTAGTTCAGACCCCAGAGTAACGCTCAGTCCCACAAGACTGCCCTCATTTCAGACACCAGTCAAAAGTCTCCAGTTGCCATTGACGCTTCTGATAGGCTATAAAATCGAGGTTCCCATAATCCCCTCCTCATGTTTAATAACTTGCTAGAACAGCTCACAGGACTCAGGAAAGTGTTTTGCTTACTAATACTGGTTTATTATAGAGTGTAACTCAGGAACAGCCCGGTGGACAAGATGCATAGGTTCAGGTATAGGGAAGGGATGAGGACCTTCCACGCCTTCTCCCGGATCCCAGCACCTTGATTTGTTCACCAACCCAGAAGCCATCTGAACCTTGTTGTTTAGGTTTTTTATGGAGTTTTTATTATGTAGGCATGATTGATTAAATCAGTGGCCATTGGTGATTAAACTCAACCTCCAGTCCCTCTCCCCTCCCCAAGATCATGCCTTGGTCTTTTTGTCAAGCAGTCCCTATCTTGAAGCTATTTAGGGGTCCTCAGCCACCAGCCATCTCACTAACATAACAAAAATCACTCTTAGCATTGCAGAGATTCCAAGGGTTTTAGGACTGTATGCCAGGAACTGGGAACAAATGCCAAATATCTATTTCTCATTGTACCCCACCCTTTCATCCATGCCTAATAATCTCTGCCAATTACTACCCCCACCCACATCTTCATTTTTTGATAAATTATCCTTAATCTTAAAGAACTATGCAAATGAAGCTTCAAGACAAAGATTGCAACTACTGTTACCTCTTCTGCATAGAAATTATGGAGCTATATAAGAAACCCAAAGTGTTGAGTGTTTTATTTTTGGCAGGTGCTATGGTATCAGATGATGGTGCTATGGTCTCACTGTCTTTCCATTTATCTGTCTTTTTCTTTCTCTCTCCTTCCTTCCCCCACCAAAGATCACATCCCCCTCCACAAAGTCAGGATTCATCCACAAGGACAATTTAACCTGGCCCTCATATTCACTAAAGTCTGAAAGGTAGACTTTAGACATTATGTCCAGGTGAACTTACAGTTGCCTTGAAGGCTGGGAGTCATGTTAAAAGAGTTGGCTTGTTAAATGTAAGCATTTCAAATAAATGTGATCCTGCTTGGCATTTCTTCATTTTTAAAGATATTGGGAGACTTAAGAAATGGAACTGGCTTAGGCATTCTCAACCTTTGAGAGCTTCTGGATATGATGAAGAACTCTGGCTTCTAATGATTTGACCTTGAATATATTTCCATCCCTTGGAAACCCAGTTTAATCATTTCTAAAATGAGTTAGTAATTCCCACCCTGCCTATGAAGGACCAAATGTGGAAATGCCTTGAAAACCTGGAGGAGCTTTACAATGAAGTGCAGGTCAAGACCTGAGGGTTAGGGCCCAGCACCTCCACTGCCCAGGTGTGTGACCTTGCCAAATCACTAGCCCACCCTGTAAACAGAAGAGCTCAACCAGCTATGTTTTTAATCCCTGCCAGCTATCAAATTTTATGATATTAGAAAATGAGGGATTATTATCATCACTTCTTTTTCACCTTGGTTACACAGGGAGTTAAAATAAACTGGCCTTTTTGCGTATTACTTTTATTTTGTGGAATAAAGAGTTTACTGTTAGCAAACTTCAGGAAACTAACCAGAGGGTAGAGCTAAAAGGAAAGTGGCAATAAATTTATTGAGAAATCACATTTTGCAAGTCAGTGGCTAAGCAAAAAGAAAAAAAGAAAAAAAGATTATGCTTCCAGCCATGGGGGCTTGCAGGTAATGCATCTTAACACTCTTTAGAATATCAGAAATCATCAACTACAGCCAATGTCTACTATTACTGTAATTCTAGTAATCTAGCACAAAGGAAACAAAAGCTGAAGGGCATAGGGGAAGAATCTCAGAGAAATGGTGAATTTGTTCTACACGTTTTGCCAATAATAAGACAACGAAGAAAGAAGGAATGTCTTCTTTAAGTTTAATAGATAATGACTAAAGCAAGAGATAAAAATATTCATAAAAATGGAATCTTGAATTCCCCCATTCATATTAAAGCCTCTTTTAAGTAAATAACTCCACCAGTTTCCCACCATCAGGTATGAACTCAGTTTTCCTGGACTCTTATCCTTCTGCTCACTCTTAAATCCTGTCCCTCAATAACTGTTCTACCTCAAAAGCCACTGTCATCACAATTCCAAGACAGCTTTTATAGCCATGGATTAGTCTTCGTTCCCTAATTCTTTACTGATCGATACTGTTAATAGAGAATAAATGTTAGCTACACAGAACAAACAAAATAGTACTCCAGGCAATTACACTAATTAATGCAGAATTGTTGTATTATGATAGTATCCCTAGTCATAAGATTAAACGATTATGCTTCAGAAAATATATATATTTTATCATGCTGTAATATAAACAAAGCATGATAAATAGTCACATTAAATAATCTTAATTCATTGCTGATGTCACAGAGCCAATGATCTTTTCTTTCAAATTAAAAAGAAAATCAGACAGCCAGGTCCAGTGGCGTGTTTCTGTAGTCCCAACTTCTTGAAAAGCTGAGACAAGAGGATCCCTTAAGCCCAAGAGTTCTAGTCCAGCCTGGGTGACATAGTGAGACCCCCATCTCAAAAAAAGAAAATTAGGATTGCATCATCTGCTATCATTCTACTTAAGGCTAGATTCCAAGGAGACTCATGTGAGGCTGCTCACCCCTTTAGATGCACTACTGTCTGTGCTTAAAATGTTGCATATGGGAGGCCAGTGGATTGACTTCCAAGCACAGACATATTTTGTTTGAATAACACAGTGGTTTAAGATTTTTTGAGCAGACATTAAAAATATATATAGACGCTTAACTGGCCTTTCATTAAAAATTGGAAAATCTGGCAACAATGGACATTATTTATTCTATCTTCCCTCTTTCTCTAGCTTCCTTCTCTATCTTTTTCCCTCTCATTCTTTCCTCAAACACTGATCCATTTCATTTATTTAGACTTCCTGACTGGCCCCATTGGGATATGAGTTTTCTACCCTTTCTGTAGGAACTCAGATCACAAGACTGGTAGTGTCTTTGTTTGGATTTCCTTTATTTACGTACAGTTTAAAAGGTTTTCCTGCTTCTGAGTTTTTGTCTTAATGTCAGTATAATATGACCAACTTAATAGTAATAGACTAGAATGATAGACATTCTTTAAACATGTACTAGCGATATAAATAGAAAAAGTACTTCCAGTCAGATGAAATCCACAGGGGGAAAAAAAAATAGAGAAAGTACAGAGAGTGAAGGCATTGGAAGGGTTCCAAACGGAAAAAAAAAATGTGTGTGTGTATATATATATATATATATATATATATATATATATATGTCACACAAATTAAGAAAAAATGTTAGGAAATATCACCAGCAGGCTCAGAAATCCAAAACCCATTAAAAATGAATCTATAGTTGAACACAACCTGAATTTCATTAAGCTTCTAATCTCGAGAAACAACTTTCTGGTGACTCCTCAAAACAGGGTGGTTAAAAAAAAATGTAATCTCATGTAACTGAATATTACATACAATAAACCAGTTAAATGCTGGGGAGAAAACTAACAAAAATGCAATCCCTGGTTATAGATCAAGAGTTCCCAAACTTGGAATTTCCTTGGATGCTTTAAAAAAAAACACTGAGGTCTAAATCCACTTCAAACATTTGCATTTAACTGGTGTGGAGTGTAGCCTGGACATTGGGACTCTTTAAAGTTCTTCGGGTGCTCCTAAAATGCCACATAATTTGAGAAGCATTGCTATAGACATTGCTTTGGTTATTACTAAATATTAGGGCTATTGCCTCTTAAAAAGCAATCATAGTTCCTGAGATTAAAGCAACCATCTACATATTCCCACTGTTTCAAAAAGTGTATCATGTCATTAAACTACAGATTTGAGAGAACAGGTCAGAAATCAAATCTTTTTACCCCAAAGGAAAATATTATCTAACTGTATCCAAAGAACTTCTATAATCCTACTTGAACAAGTTAATTCCTAGACTAGACCTTGATATCCTCATGTGTAAAATAGAGACAATAATTCCTACTTTATAAGGTTGTTCTATCAATTATATAAGATAATGCTTATGAACTGATAGTTGGTTCTTTTAATAACTATTTTTTATAAATCTGATATTCAGTGATTATAGTTTTTCCTTAAAGCCATAGCTAGTAACTCTAGCTAATATTAACCTCTCTCCTTTTTTACATTACAGCGCTCCAATTTCTTTTGTTTGTTTGTTTTTTCTTTTTGAGACAGAGTCTTGCTCTGTCACCCAGACTGGAAGTGCAGTGCCCCAGTCTCAGCCCACTGCAACCTCCACCCCCTGGGCTCAAGCAATCAGTGCTCAGCGATCCCAAAGTGCTCGGATTACAGGCGTGAGCCACCATGCCTGGCCTAGAGTGCTTGAATTTCAAATGCTTTATTTTATATTGTCTTTTAATTGCTTAATGACTTGTGGTCTGACTAGATAGACAAGAATTATTTGGAAAGAAGGGAGATTAAAAGGCCATTTATCAGCAATGATAAAAGCTGCTTGCTTCTCATACAATTTACTACAACATATTAGGTCGGTGCAAAAGTAATTGCAGTTTTTGCCACTAAAAGTAATATTTAGGTTGAGAGACTCGATCCTACAATTATGAGAAGAAACTAGCAATGAATTTGAAAGTAGCATCCAGAAAAGCCAATGGATCAGCAGTTGGGAGAGGACTGAGTCACATTTTCCTTTTTAAAGGTAGAATAAGCCATATTTTGTGAATTAGTTTTGTCTTGCAGCTGTTAATAAATTACCAGAAACTTGGTGGCTTAAACATACCAGTTTATTATCTTATAGTTCTGTGCATTAGAAGTCTGACATGGATCCCACTGGGCTGAGATCAAGGTGCCAACAGGGTGCATCCCTTTCTGAGGACTCAAGAGGAGAATCTGTTTCTTTGCCTTTTCCAGCTTCTAGAGTTCCGTCCCTAACTCTTGGCTCCCTCCATGAGTCTTCAGAGCTGGCAATGTCAAGCAGCGTCCTTATGCTACCAACTCTCTGGGTCTCTTTCCTGTTGTCACAAAAGGAGTCCCTCTGACTTCTTTTGTGTCTCCTCTTCCACTTTCATTGTTATTTATTTATATTTTTGAGACAGGGTCTTGCTCTGTCACCCAGGCTGAGTGCAGTAGTGTGATTATAGCTCACTGCAGCCTTGTCCTCCCGGGCTCAAGGAATCCTCCCACCTCAGCCTCTTAAGTAGCTAGGACCACAGGTGCACTACCATGCCTGGCTAATTTTTTTTAACATTTGTAGAGCCTGGGGGAGGGGGATGGTGAGGTGGGAGGAACAAGGGGCGGGAGATGGGGGAGAGCTCTTTGTTGCTCATGCTGGTCTTGAACTCCTGGTCTCAAGCGATCCCCCCAGCTTCAGCCTCCCAGAGCACTGGGATTACAGGGATGAGCCACTGCACCCGGCTCCTCTTCCACTTCTAAGGACCCTGTGATTACAATGTGCCCACCTATGTCAGAGACATCCTAACCAGAGTGATTTCACCTTGAATAAAAGCCAGATAAAGCAAGACCTGCTGGGTTACATTTCCAGGAAGTTAGGCGTTATTGATCACAAGATGTTTATGGTTGAGGAAACGAGCTAATGGGAAAAGGCATTCTTAGTTTAAAAATAGGTTTCCCTCTAAAGGTAATAGTATCCTCATAAATTCTTGCTAAAAGTAATAATTGCACAAGAGAATAGTAATACTAAGTCTGTCATAAGCTCAACACAACCTTTTGTAATAAAGTACACTATTCTTAGCCTTAATATCCCATGTAAGTAAGCCTTATGTCTGAGGTAGGGACATTCCTCCTCTTGCTTTCTCAGCAAGCCCTACTCTGTAATAGAGTATTTTCTAAGAAACTATTTTAACTTCACTATATTCTGAGACTCACTCTGAATTCTCTCCTATGTGAGATCCAAGAACTCACTCCTGTGGTCTGGGATGAGATCCCTTTTCTGGTAACACATAGGTAATCCAGGCTTCTCTCCCTACCTTAGCTGATTGGCAAACTTATTCCATCTTAATTCTCCTTTGCCATGTGACATATTTACATAACAACAACAATGGAAAGAGAAGTCAAACTTGACTGCCAATTACATATCAGTGATCATCTAATCTCTCAGGTCAGTGAAGACTCACTGTTATCCCAATTCCAGGGATTAGGATGTGGACATCTTTGGGGGCCCCTGAGAAGCTAAATAGGATCAATAGTTTATAAAGAAGTAACATCTAATACACAACAAATTAAGATAACAGTAACTCACTGAATCATGCACTCACAAGGCAACCATGCCTCTTCTCCTCTCTACTTAATTTATGGTAGACATTGCAAATCCACCAGGTAAAACTATAACCTCAGATCTTACACAGAGTATGCTAAGAATCACCAGTGAGTACAATTAATCAAATTGGCATGCAAACTAAAATCTATTTTCCATCCTAAATTTGAACAGTTGTGAGGGCAAGAGACTTTCTCTTAGGGGCATTTTTTGGAATAAGGTGATGATGTAACTTTTTAAAATTGGCAGACCAAAGGAATCCCAGCTGAGCTAAATACAGAGATTATAATAAGAAAATAAAATAAGTGAAATACTTCAACCATTGACAGAAATCTGTGTTTCAATGATCACCTGTAGAGAAGTCATTTGGTGGCCAAAAAAAATCTTCATGTATTTCTAGCCCTGCCCACACAACACAAAGCCTTCTCTTGAGATCTGTTATTATGCGCCTCTATTCTTCCTAAAAGGATATTTTGCTCAGAAATAGATTTGGATAGATGTGCATGTGTAGGTATTTTAAAGCTTATGTTACTCTAAAATAAAACTCTATGGCCTTTTACAAGTATTTTATATAAGTAATCTATGATCATGGTAGAGAAATTAGAAAAAAACAAAGAAGATAGAAAAAAAAAAAAAACTCACACATAATCCTATCTGCCAGAAATAAATTTTGGTGCTTATTCTGACAAATGTGTTTACATTTATTTATTCATTTGACATATTTATTGAGCCCTGTGCCAGGCATGATCCCAGGCCTTGAGAGTACAACATGAATAAAACAGAACAACAACAAAAAAAATCTATGCCCTCGATGAGCCCAATTATGTACAAAAAAGAACATTTTAAAAACCAAAAGTTATACCATATTTTGCATATCTGTAGTTTGTAATTGGCTTTTCCTATGTCCCAGGTTTTGGAAGTATCCCCCTAATTTTGTCAGGCTGTTGTGGTTTTCCCAGTAATCTTGACTGAACTGAGAGATGAGTTCTGACTGCTACATAATTAACAGTCCAGCCTGACTTCTCTTTCCATAGTTTGTTGCTATGTGATCAGAAGAAAATCTTCTCTCAAAAAAATCGAGAGTACTGTCTCTGAATTTCTTTAGACCACAAAGCCTACTCAGGGAATTAAATAGAACTTCATTTTATCTTATCCCAGTGTTAAAAGAAAAACTTTAGCTGAATTAAATTTAAAGGAGTTTGAGTAATGAACGACTCGCGAATCAGGCAGCCCCCAGAATCACAGCAGATTTACAGAGACTCCAGGGGTGCCTCGTGGTCAGAACAAATTTATAGACAAAAAATGTAATGTATAGAAATCAAAAGTGAAGTACAGAAACAGCTGGATTGGCTACAGGTTGGCGTTTGCCTTATTTAAACACAGTTTGAACACTCAGCAGCATATGAGTGGTTGAAGTACACTGCTGGAATTGGCCAAGACTCAGCTATTGTTACAGACGCATACTCCTATGCTAAGTTTTCAGTCTGTTAGGTTGCCGTTCATCCACAAGGACTCAAATATAAAATATGGAGTCCTGGCTGGGCACAGTGGCTCACGCCTATAACCCCAGCATTTTGGGAGGCCAAGGCAGGGGATCACCTGAGGTCAGGAGTTCGAGACCAGCCTGACCAACATGGTGAAACCCCATCTATACTAAAAATACAAAAATTAGCCAGGCGTGGTGGTGCACACCTGTAATCCCAGCTACTCGGGAGGCTGAGGCAGGAGTATCGCTTGAACCCGGGAGGTGAAAGTTGCAGTCAGCCGAGATCACGCTGCTGCACTCCAGCCTGGGCAACAAGAGCAAAACTCAGTCTCAAAAAAAAAAAAAAGAAAGAAAAGAAATATGGGGTCCTTTTCCAGCCGTATTTAGTTTGCTTTAACATCAGTTATTTATTGCTGCATAAAGCATCCCCCTAAACCTTAGGGGCTTACAACAACAATCATTTTTATTACTAATTCACAATTCTGGAGGTTTACTCAGTTCAGCAGGATAATTCGCTCTTGGATTTTTTTTCCCGTGCAGTTTGACAATTTCTGGTGCTAGAGTCATCTTGAAGGCTTCTTCACCCACAGGTCCTATTGATTCTGGCTATCATCTGGGATGTCAGTCAAAGTGGCAGTCTGGAACACCCACATCCAGCTATGTGGCTGAGCTTCCTCACAACATGGTGGTTGGGTTTTGAGATCAAGCGTCCAAAAGCACTAGACAGAGCTATATCACCTTTTCTGACTTAACCCCAGAAGTCATGTAGGGACACTTCTACCATGGTCACAAGCCTCTTAGATCAAGGAAAAGAAATAATAAATCCTATCCCCTTGATAGGAGGAGTATCAACATTACCCTGTAAGAGCGTATGGGATGGGATATAGTGTGTGACCATCCTTGGGAAATGGAATCTGTCACATATCTCAATCTCCTTACACCTTTAATATGTATGGTTAAAGTCAGTGGTAGCAAATTTCAGGGCCACTGTAAGTTTAAGAGAAAAGTTCTGTCACTATCGAGCCTTTCTAAAATAACACATCTCAAAGTTTCTGTTTAGTAAAAAAGAACTGACAATTGAATAGCCAGGTATTCTAATTCTAATATTTATCCCATGGATTAATGTGGAGAATTATTAGTTGATAAAAGCTTAATCAGGCTTTTTTTTCTCTTTAATTTGGAAAACTCACTCTGGAAAAGTGACCTATAGAGAATCAATCTTTCCTATATATGAAGCATGGGAAGCACTATTAATTAATTTTGGTATCCAAGGCTTCTAAGATTATAAGGTGCCAGGTGCGGTGGCTCATGCCTGTAATCCCAGCACTTTGGGAGGCCGAGGCCGGCCGGTCATGCGGTCAGGAGATCGAGACCATTCTGGCTAACGCAGTGAAACCCCGTCTCTACTAAGAATACAAAAATTAGCCTGGCGCGGTGGCGGACGCCTGTAGTCCCAGCTACTCGGGAGGCTGAGGCAGGAGAATGGCATGAACACAGGAGGCGGAGCTTGCAGTGAGCCGAGATCATGCCACTACACTCCAGCCTGGGAGACAGAGCGAGACTCTGTCTCAAAAACAAAACAAAAAAAAGGTGAATTAATCTTAATAGTGCTTCAATGTAATATTAAGAAAGCTGCCAAATGGGTTCTAGACATCTGTGGGATCTCTAGGTACATTGTTGGGAAGAGATAAACACATTAAATTATCATTTAAGTCTTACCAAAAAAAAAAAAACACATAAGAATTTAGAGGAACTATTTAATACAGGCTTGCTAAAACAAATCAACCTTCTTTTATTCAACAGTTAATGAACACCTATGATACATCTGGTACAAATACCAAGTACCCACAGTATACTAGCTGTATTAGTCTGTTTTCACGCTGCTGATAAAAGACATACCTGAGACTGGGCAATTCACAAAAGAAAGAGGTTTAATGGGCTCACAGTTCCACGTGGCTGGGGAGGCCTCACAATCATGGCAGAAGGCAAAAGGCACGTCAGGCATGGCGGCCAACAAGTAAAGAGAGCTTGTCCAAGGAAACTCCCCTTTATAAAACCATCAGAGCTCATGAGACTTATTCACTATCACAGGAACAGCATGGGAAAGACCTGCCCCCATGATTCAATTACCTCCCACTGGGTCCCTCCCACAACACGTGGGAATTCAAGATGAGATTTGGGTGAGGACATAGCCAAACCATATCACTAGCTATGTAGGATACACATAAAATAACGTAAAAATGATTGATCCTGTAGCATTTTTAATACTACAAATAAAATATTATTATAGTAAATACCATTATGAAGAAGGATTTTATATAATATATTTAATATCACAGCAGAATATCCACAACTGCAGTGTGCTATTGATCTTGTTACCAGAAAGAGGTCTTGATCCAGACCCCAAGAGAGGGTTTGTGGATCTCATGCAAGAAGGAATTTGGAGCGAGTCCACAGAGTAAGGTGCAAGTAAATTCGTTAAGAAAGTAAGGAAACAAAAGAATGGCTACTCCATAGGCAAAGCAACACTGAGGACTGCCGGTTGGCTATTTTTATGGTTATTTATTGATCATACGTTAAACAATTCATGAGTTTAGCGGAGCTGAGGGATTATTCATGAGTTTCCCAGAACTGAGGGTTCCTCACCTTTTTAGACTATATAGCGTAACTTCGGGAAATTGTCATGGCACTTGTAAACCGTCATGGCACTGATGGAAGTGCCATCTAGCATGCCAATGTATTATAATTAGCATATAATGAGCAATGAGGATGACCACAGGTCACTTGATTTTGGTGGGTTTTGGCTGGCTTCTTTACTGCATCCTGTTTTATCAGCAGGTTTTTTTTGTTTTGTTTTGTTTTGTTTTTTGAGACAGAGTTTTGTTCTTGTTGCCTGGGCTGGAGTGCAATGACATGATCTCGGCTTACTGGAACCTCTGCCTCCCAGGTTCAAGTGATTCTAGCACCTCAGTCTCCTGAGTAGCTGGGATTACAGGTGTGTGCCACCATGCCTGGCTAATTTTTGTATTTTTAGTGGAGACAGTGTTCCACCATGTTGGTCAGGCTGGTCTCAAACTCCTGACCTCAAGTGGTCCACCCACCTTGGCCTCCCAAAGTGCTGGGATTACAGGTGTGAGCCACTGTACCCTGCCTCAGCAGGGTCTTTATTATCTGTATCCTTTGATATCAGTCCTGCAGACCTCTTATCTCATCCTGTGACTAAGAATGCGTAACCTCCTAGGAATACAATTCAGCAGGTCTGAGCCTCATTTTACCCAGCACCTATTTAAGATGGGGTTGCCCTGGGCCGGGCGCGGCGGCTCACGCCTGTAATCCCAGCACTTTGGGAGGCCGAGATCATGAGGTCAGGAGATCGAGACCACGGTGAAACCCCGTCTCTACTAAAAAACACAAAAAATCAGCCGGGCGTTGTGGCGGGCGCCTGTAGTCCC
Organism: Homo sapiens; assembly: GCF_000001405.40. Taxonomy (NCBI): domain Eukaryota; kingdom Metazoa; phylum Chordata; class Mammalia; order Primates; family Hominidae; genus Homo; species Homo sapiens. The sequence continues at coordinate 76,902,564 of NC_000012.12, read as the reverse complement.
AGTTACTCGGGAGGCTGAGGCAGGAGAATGGCGTGAACCCGGGAGGCGGAGCTTGCAGTAAGCCGAGATTGTGCCACTGCACTCCAGCCTGGGCGACAGAGTGAGACTCCATCTCAAAAAAAAAAAAAAAAAAAAAAAGGATAGGGTCGCTCTGGTTTGAACACCTCTGACAATCTGATTACAACGCACTCTTGTGTTGCAGAGTAAATACTTGTCCATGTCTCTTTTTTAAAAAAAGAATTACTCTACAGGTTTATAATTATTTCCTGTAGAGGGAAGAGTTAAGCTGGATGGTAGCTAAAAGCCACATATTTCTTTTGTCCTGCTGTCAAAGAAACACTTCCTTTCATGTTGTACAAATTCTCAAATCATCGCTCTAGAAGTTAACATAAAAAACAAAGAATTTCCTTCTGAGTTTAATCCTTTCTCCTTGTTACCACAAAGTCAATGAATGTGGTTTCCTTTCAACCTGTTTCTAACCATGTCTATTAAAACTGTTTCTTGTTTTAAAATTGTTTATATTCTCTAGAGTTCATTGTAATTGGAATTGAGTACCACAGTTTCCAACAACATCATGCATTAATTAATTGATAAAACCAGCCTAAGAAATCTGAGATTCCTGTGCATGACATACTCAACTTGGTAAACTTACTGGGTCATTTCACTTAGGAGGGAAAAAACAGGTGGAACAGACAAGAGAGAACTATGTCAGGAACTAGCAAAGGGAAGTCCTGTTTTGTTCCCTCTTTGTTTGGTTTTGTTTCTTGGGTTTTGATGCAGTTTTGGTTTAGTCTTGCTGGAGAAGAGGAAGGCTTTCCCTCCTATCAGGAGCCTGCTCACCATCACTGCCGTGACAGAAAAAAGGGAGCCTGGCAAACCACATTTTCCTGAAAACACAGCTTTCTCTCCCCACTACTAAAGACGGTTGAGGGAATTCACTAAAGTAGAAAGTAGAAAATTCTACTTTCTTTGTTAAATTATGTACAATGATTTTTTTTCCTGAGCAGGAAAAGGAAATGATGAAAAAGCTTTTTTCCTGGTCTCAGAATAAACTCATTGCTTGCACAGATCCATAAGTGGGGATTAGAATTACCTGTGGGCTTTTTAGGGCTTTTACTGGATATTTACTTTTATGTCTTTAATAAGTTAGAATTTTAAATAACCTAGAAACATAACATGTAGCTTAAATTTCTATCTTAACTTCTGACATTGTAAATACCATAATGTTTCAATTGTTTGTCTTCAGATAGTGCAAATGTATAGACTGTATAATGATATGTTAACCATTACTCTAAGTCTTATACACATATCCTTAGGCCTTCTTAGATCAAAGGAGTGCAAAAGTCTACTTGTGAAAAGTTATCTCTTTTGATAATATAAAATAATGAAGAAGAAAATAACAGTAGTTATAAATGTCTGATTCATTTCCAGTTTTCTAAATCTATCATAAGAAACAAGGTTTTACTGTATTGGCATTAAATATATGCATCTGGGAAATCAATTTATAAAAACCAAGTTAATTGGCCTTTTCATAATGGGCATTGTAATTCCTTGCTCTGGTTTTTTTTTTTTTTTTTCCTGTATTTTTTCATTCTTATTTTAAGTCTTGTGCATTAGTCTGGGAACTCAAGATTAGTAAGACAAAAATTTCTGGCCTGCAGAGAGTATAAAGTTCAACAAGGAAACAGACAGTAACCAGTCACAAGACAATGTGTTTATCCAAGGATACACTAGAAAACAACAACAACAACAACAACAAAAAGCATGGTCCCTGTCCTCATGAAGGCAAATCATGGAGCTAGGTCTTAATCATATGTAACACAGATATAAGTTTAATGCTATAGAGTTTAGAACTCTTTCCATTCTAAGCAGCTAAAACCCCAACTCACATTCACATAAGCCAAAAAAGAAGGGGGGTGGTGAGTATTCATTGGCTCAAGGGCTAGTTGCAGCACCCGTTGTTGTAGGGGCTCCAACAGTGTCACCAGGACCTGGTGCCTCTCCTTTCAGCCCTACTCATCTGAATTTTGGTTTCATCTTCATGTTCAAATCCAGTGATAAAAGAACAGTGTTTCGCTCCTTCCAACAAATATTCTTAGTGTGACTCTCGTTAGTCTGAAGTAGATCACATGCACGTTCCTAAACTAATCCTGGCCAGGGGAATGTGGTGCTCTGATAGGCCAGGCCTAAGTCACATGCTCTTCCTTAGAGCTGGAGGGGAGCCAATTCCAGGAGAAGTTTGTGAATTGAGAGGGTCAGAGGTTCAGTCCCCAGAAGAAATTGGGATGCCTTACAAAAGGAAGGGAAATGGACATTGGCAGTCATAGCAGCTAGCCACTGTCCCCCACAACGCCTCTGTGGTCCAATTTCTTTGTGCCTTCCTATTCCTGGAGACAAATATAGCAACCAATGCATCTATGGTTATGGGTTAAAGTAACACAGGACAAGGTCAAACAGGTTCTTGCTTTTTTCTACCATAATCAGCGATGTTCTAGAGAGTAAACTCAAGGACCCTAGGTGAGAAAGGCAATCTCATTAATCATTTTGTATAAATGAGGGATAATTTTTTTTTGTTTAAAGCCACTAAAACTTTGTATCCACTAGAGCAGTTTCCAACTTTAATTGTGCCTCTCAAAAGACTGCCAAAGGGGATTCGATTTGTAACCTACAGACACACATCTGGATATTCCCTTGTCCCTCTTCACTCAGTCTTAATGGCTTTGTCATCCCTTAATTGTCCCAGTGCCTCTCTGCACACCTTATTACTCATCCTTTACCAAAATGCCAACCTTAGCTCACATCCCTGCCATTTTCATTTATTGTATTTCAACAACTTTTGTCTGAGTCAGCTTTTCCTCATCCCTAGTGCTTTCCGGATCCATGTGGATCCTTTAGGCTTAACTGTTTCTTAAGATTTTCCTCCACTAGTTTCCCCAACCTGCATAATAAGTTCAGAAATTCCCTTAAAATGTGGGGGCAGAAGGGCCCAATGGCAATAAATAAATAAATAAATAATAAATAAGTTAGACTATTTTAATCTGAGGAGGTGATAAATACACTTACAATGTCTTTGCTTCCATCTGCCATGCAATTATATCCCATGGTCTATAATTTCAAAATGTGATAAGAATCTGGGGTGGGAGCGGGCTGGGAGGAGCAGGAACAGATTTTTTTTTTTCTTTTTTTGAGACAGAGTTTCATTCTTGTTGCCCAGGCTGGAGTGCAATGGCGTGATCTCGGCTCACTGCAACCTCCACCTCCCAGGTTCATGCGATTCTCCTGTCTCAGCCTCCCAAGTAGCTGGGATTACATGTGCCCGCCACCACGCCTGGCTAAATTTTTTGTATTTTTAGTAGAGGTGGGGTTTCACCATGTTGGCCAGCTGGTCTGGAACTCCCGACCTCAGGTGATCTGCCTGCCTTGGCCTCCCAAAATGCTGGGATTACAGGCGTGAGCCACCATGCCCGGCCTAGACTTTTGAATTAAGATCTAAAGGACGAAAAGGAATTAACTAAATGAACAAGACTGGCAGGTGAGAAACTATTCCAGGAAGAAGACATCATCAGACAGGACGCTGATCCTGAAGGAAGGCAGCTGTGTGTTCGGAGTAAGGTAGCGTGACACGAGATGAGGTAGCGAGTGGGCCCAGGTAATCCTCAAGCAGGACTATAAGGAGCAGATACCAATGACTAAAACAAGAGAGTTTGACCCAAAAGGTCTCCAGGTTTTTTTTGAGTCTCTTGAGGACAAAGGAAAGTCCCTTTAGTACTGTTCCTAAGCCTCTGCCTGGTGAGAAAGGGAATTGTTACTGCAGAAATCTCTTTCCAGCACTCTGTGCCTGGGTTGTTGTTACACTATGGCGAGCTGAGTTATGTAAGTGCTCTGTGAAGAAAGAAATGAAAAGTGCCTTCAGCACAGTGTCTCTTGGCTGAACTTGCTAGACATCATTCTGTGATCTGCTTAAGTCAGAAAAGGAATCCCTGCCAAGATCATTTTGCTGTTATAACCATGATTAGTTCAAGTTTCTAATCTTTCACTGTACAACTTTTTGACAGAAATGTAATGCAGATAGGAGATCAAAGTTAACTTGTTTATTTGCCTGAGAGTGTTGACTAAGAGTTTATTGATATGGTTGCATTTAAATCTACCTTCTTGCTGTTTGTTTTCTATTTGACCCATCTGTTCTTTGTTTCCCTTTTCATATTTTCTGCCCTCTTTTGGATTAATTTTCTGATTCAATTTTATTTCCTTTGATGGCTTATAGTTAGCTATTACTATTTGTTTTGTTTTAGGGGCTGCTTTAGGGTTTATATACATCCTTAACCTATTACAATTAATCTTCAAGTAATAATATACCACTTCACATATAGTATATAAACCTTACAACAATATACTCCCTGTTCCCACTTCCAGGCCTTTGTACTATTATTGTCATGCATTTTACTTTTATATACATTAGAAACTCTCCAATACATTGCATATATTGTTAATTTTTTTGTTGTTGTTAAACAGTCGATCATGCTGGGCGTGGTGGCTCATACCTGTAATCCCAACACTTTGGGAGGCCAGGGCAGGAAGATTGCTTGAGGTCAGGAGTTTGAGTCCAGCCTGACTAGTTAGTGAGACCCTGTCTCTACAAAAAGTACAAAAATTAGCTGGGCGTGGTGGTGCACGCCTGTAGTCGTAGCTACTTGGGAGGCTGAGATAAGAGGATTGCTTGAACCCAGGAGTTCAAGGCTGCGGTGAGCTGTGATCATGCCACTGTACTCCAGTCTGGGTTACAGAGCAAGACTGTATCTAAAAAATAAAAAATTCAAAAAGTCAATTATCTTTTAAACAGATTTTTTAAATTAAAAATTATATTTATCTATTTTTTATGTATATGGCTTTTCATTAACACATGGCTTTTGAATAAACTTTCTACCCAGATCTATCTCTGTACACCCTCTTTAGATGTAGAGAGGTTTTAGATTTGCCCTTAGATTTGCCCTTTTGAGGCTATTTTCTAGATCTTGTAGGCGTGCTTTATTCTGTTTTCTCCTCATGTATTTTCATATAGCCTGTTTTTCATCTCACTAATTCTTGCTTCTGCTTGATCAATTCTACTATTGAGAGACTGGTACATTTTCAGTTTGTCAATTGAATTTTTTAGCTTCAGAATTTCTGCTCGACTTTGCCTTATTATTTCAGTCTCTGTTAAATTTCTCTGATTGAATTCCGAATTCCTTCTCTGTGTTATCTTGAAGTTCACTGAGCTAGCGCAAGCTAGCTTTTTTTTTTTTTTTTTTTTGGACAGTTTCATTCACTCTTATCACCCACTCTGGAGTGCAGTGGCATGATCTCAGCTCATTGCAATCGCCACCTCCTGAGTTCAAGTGATTCTCCTGCCTCAGCCTCCCGAGTGACTGGAATTACAGGCATGCACCACCACGCCTGGCTAATTTTTGTATTTTTAGTAGAGAAAGGGTTTTGCCAGGTTGGCCAGGCTGGGCTTCAACTCCTGACCTTAGTGACCTCCCCACCTTGGCCTCCCAAAGTGCTGAGATTATAGGTGTGAGCCACCATGCCCAGCTGTGACAGCTATTTTGAATTCTCTGCCTGAAAGGTCACGTATCTCCCTCACTCCAGGATTGCTCATTTGTGCCTTGTTTGCTGTGTTTGGTGAGGTCATATTTTCATGGATATTCTTGGTGCTTGTAGATGTTGGTTGATGTTTCAGCATTAAAGAGTTAGATATTTATTTCAAACTTCATAGTCTGGGCTTCCTTGTACTCATTCTCCTTGAGAGGGCTTTCCAGAAATTCAAAGGGGATTGAGTGTTGTGACCTAAGCCTGCAGTCACTGCAGCTGTTTCAACACTAGGAGTACCTTAAGCCCAGGAAGGCTGTGTGCGATTCTTGCAGACTCCTAGATACACTGCCTTGGTGGATTTGGGTGAGATAAAGGAAAATTCTCCAAGTTACCAGGCAGTTTCTTGCTCTCCTCCCTCTCTTTTTCCAGTCAGGAGTCTCTCTCCATGCTGAGCTGCCTGGAGTTGGGAGAGGAGTAACATGGACACTCCCATGGCCACCATAGCTAGCACTGTGCAGGGTCACACTTGAAGCATTGTGGACTAGCACAGCAGTGGGGCTCACCCAAGGCCTGCAGCCACTACTGCCTGACTGCCACTGATGTTTATTCAATGCCCAGGACCACTTTAGTCAGCAGGTGGTGAATTCTGCCAGGACTGGGTCCATCCCATCAGGGCAGTGGATTCCCTTCTGGCCCAGGGTGGGTCTAGAAACACTGGCCAGAAGCAAAGACCCAGAATCCAGGGCTTTAGAAATCTGGTTGATTCTTTATTTTACTGTGGCTGAGTTGGTACCCAAGTTGCAAGACACAGTTCTCTGTGCTCTCATCTCTCCTTCCCCCAAGTGATAGGAGTCTCTCCCAGAGCTGCGCTGCCTGGAATTGGGAAAGGGGCGACACAGACACTCCCTTAGTTACCACAGCTAGTGTTGCACAGGATTGTACGCCAAGTCCCCTGCCTCCCAGACCAGTGCAGTACCAGGGCTTGCCCTAAGACGGCAGTCCTTGTGGCCTGACTGCCACTCACATGTACTCTGGGTCCCAGGCCTCTTTTGTTAGCCAGCGGTAAAGGCAGCTGAGACTTCAGTTCCTCCTACTGGGACAAGGAATTCTCCACTGGCCCAGGGCTGGTCTAAATGCTCCCTCTGTGGGCACTGAAAGGATTCTGCCCTGTGCTATGTTCTGTTATGATAGGGCAGCACTGAGTTCCAACGCCAAGTTCCACACTCTCTTTGCTCTCCCTCTCTTAGCACACAGATTCTCTCTCCATGCTGCACTGCCTAGAGTTGGGGGATGAGTAATGCAGGTAGTGCAAGGCTGGCCTTCCCACCCTCTTCAGTGCCTCTTTTTTTATTTATTTTATTTTATTTTTTTTTTTTGAGACAGAGTCTCACTCTGTTACCAGGCTGGAATGCAGTTGGCTCACTGCATGCAGCTTCTGTCTCCTGGGTTCAAGCAATTCTCCTGCCTCAGCCTCCCAAGTAGCTGGGATTACAGGCATGCACTGCCACGTCCAGCTAATTTTTGTGTTTTTAGTAGAGATGGGATTCCACCATGTTGGCCAGGCTGGCCTTGAACTCCTGACCTCAGGTGATCCACCCACCTCAGCCTCCTAAAGTGCTGGGATTACAGGTGTGAGCCACTGCACCCAGCCAATACCTCTTTCTTTGATATTATGTTCAAACCAGGTAGTGTGATCACTCACTCAAGGCACTAGATAGCATGCTTTGAATGTTTTGGGTCCTATGAAGGTGTTTTCTTGTGTGGATAGTTGTTCACAATGGTGTTCCTGCGGGGGGATGATCACTGGTGAGCTTATTCAGCTATCTTACTCTGCCTCCTCCTTGCTCCTTTTGCAGATACAGATTCCTTTTTAGTATCATTTTGCTTTTGCCTGAAGGATTTCTTTATAACATTTCTTTTGGTTCAAGTCGGCTGTGATGATTTTTTTCAGCTTTCATATGTCTGAGAGAAACTTTATTTTATCTTCATTACTGACAGATATTTTTACTGGTTTTTGAATTCTTTTCTTCTTTGAGACAGAGTCTTGCTCTCTTGCCCAAGGGTGGAGTGAAGTGGCACGATCTTCACTCACTGCAACCTCTGCCTCCCAGGTTCCAGTGATTCTCCTGCCTCAGCCTCCCGAGTAGCTGGGACTACAGGCACACGCCACCATGCCCGGCTAATTTTTGTATTTTTAGCAGAGACGGGGTTTTACCATGTTGGCCAGGCTGGTCTCGATCTCCTGACCTCATGATTCACCCGCCTCGGCCTCCCAAAGTGCTGGGATTACAGACATGAGCCACCATGCCTAGCCTGGTTTTTGAATTCTAAGTTGACAAATTTTTTTTCTTTCAGCACTTTAAAGACATTGCTCCACTGTCTGATGGCTTGCATTGTTCCCCACAAGAATTCTGCTGTCAATCTTACCATTTTGGGTTTTTTCCTCTGTGGCATTTTCCCTCTGGCTGCTTTTCAGATTTTCTCATTATCACTGGCTTTAACCTTTTCCTGTTTGTGCTGAGAATACTCACTGGCAGCGCTTGCAGCTGCAGCGTTTACCCAAGATAGTTTTGCCATGAAAATCTCGCTTTTATTATTATTTTTGCATCACTCTAGTATATCAACTTTGGAAACAAAAGACATCATTCTATTTATAGCATTCTGTTTTTAGTACTGATACTCCCATTTACAAAATATGGTAATTCTCAATCACTGAAAATGTCAAATCCTAGAAAATGCAGCATTCCTTCGTGTGATGTTAATGTTGTTCTTGAACGGTCATTGGTCAAAGATTCATTTGATGAATCCGATTTTTCTGAAATAGACAGTTCTGATGATTTGGATGATTCTGACATTAGTTCTGTTTAGAAATAGCTTCATGAACGGTTTTCATATTTTATTTTCACATTGAAAATCAGTGAGATTTTCTTCAGCCTTCAAGAGCGTGTTTACGTAAAATTAAATGAGCGCTGGCAGCGAGCTGCACTTTTTCTAAATGGGAAAATGGTTAAGCAGTATGATTATGCTGTTTCTTGGTGTAGTTTTTATGTTTCTTGTTCTTGGGGTCTGTTGAATTTCTTGGATTTGTAGATTTATAGTTTTCACGCAATTTGGAACTTTTTCGGTTATTATTTCTTCAAATATCATTTCTGCCCTCCGTTTTTAGGGACTTTAAGTGTATGTATTAGGTCACTTAAAATTATCCCACAGCTGCTGGGTGTAATGGCTCAAGCCTGTAATCCCAGCACTTTGGAAGGCCGAGGTGGGCAGATCACCTGAGGTCAGGAGTTTGAGACAAGCCTGTAATCCCAGTACTTTGGGAGGCCGAGGTGGGCAGATCACATGAGGTCAGGAGTTTGAGACCAGCCTGGCCAACATGGTGAAACCTCATCTCTACTAAAAATACAAAAATTAGCTGGGTATGGTGGCATGTGCCTGTAGTCCCAGCTACTCGGGAGGCTGAGGCAGGAGAATGGCTTGAACCCAGGAGGCGGAGGTTGCGGTGATCCGAGGTCGCGGTGATCCGAGGTCGCGCCATTGTACTCCAGCCTGGGAACAAGAGCAAAACTCCATCTCAAAAAAAAAAAAAAAAATTATGCCACAGCTCACTAATTCTCTATTCATTTTTTTCCATTTTTTTTCCTCTGTGTTTCATTTCAGATAGTTTGTGTTGCTATGTCTTTAAGTTAGTATTTTATTTTGTATATCTTAATAGATTGCATTTTTCATCTCAGACCTTGTATTTTTATCTCTAGAAGTTCAATTTGGGTCTTTTAAAAATATATATCCCATGTATCTGCTTAACATACACAAGGATTTCTCTACTTTATCATATGAACTTCTATGGAATATAGCTATAACTGTTTTAATGTCCTTGTTTACTTATTCTATTAACTGTATCATTTCTGGATCTATTTATCAATTTTGCCCCTCATTGTGGATTGTATTTTCCTGTTTCTTTGTATGCCAGGTACATTTTTATTAGATACCAGTCATTATGAATTTTTCTATCAATATTCTTGAGCTTTGTTCTGGGATGCAATTATGTTATTTAGAGATAGTTTGAGCCTTTCAAAATTTTAAGCTTTATTATTCAGGATCGGGGAAGCCCTTAACTTTGCTCCTCTACCGAGGCAATAATACCCTCTGAGTATTCTACCTGATGAGTTCTCTACCTTTGTTCTGTGAACTAGAAGGTTTATCCTCTCTGGCTGGTGGGAACTAAAACTATCCCCAGCCCTCTGTAGGCTGTAGAGATTATTTCCTCTGATCCATTTGGGTGGTTGGGTGGGTCTTTCTCTAGCCTCAGCTAGTTTCCTAAAAGTCATGCCCTGATTAGTACTCAATAAAAAACCTGAGGGGACCCTCTGCAGCTCTCTGGATTTTTCTTTCTCTGTAGCTCTCTCTTGTCTGGCACTCTGCCCTGCAGATTCTAGCCACCTTGGTCTCCCTGGACTCCTAATCCATCTCCTTAACTCAAAGAGACGGCCAGGATCTTCCTGGCTTTCCTCTCCCTGACATCACCCTGGAAACTCTCCCCAGGTAGTAAGTTGGCCGACTCACAGTAATCACTTATTTACTGTTTCTCAGGGATGACTGTCCTGTGCTGCCTCATGTTCAATATCTGAGAACCACTGTTTTGTATATTCTGTCTAGCTTTTCAGTCATTTCAGGTAGGAGGGTAAATCTGGTCCCTGTTATCCCTTCTAAGCAGAAAGCAGATGTCTTAGGCTGTGTTAAACTGGCGTTCTCAAACTTTAGCATGTATTAGAATTAACCAGCAGGCTTGCTAAAACGTAACTCCCTAGAGTTTCTAATTAATGCGTGTGGGGCCTGAATTTGCAATTTTTTGAGATGGGGTTGGTCTCTGTCACTCAGGCTCGAGTGTAGTGGCATAATCAGAGCTTACTGCAGCCTCAGACTCAGGAGCTCAAGCAATCTTCCCACCTCACCCTCCAGAGTAGCTGAGACAACAGCCACTTGCCAACATGTATGGCTGATTTTTTTTATTTCTATAGACAGGGTCTTACTATGTTGCCCGGGCTGATAATTTGAATTTCCAACAAGTTCTCAGGTGATTCAGAAGCTTCTGGTACAGGACCACACTTTCAGAACCACTATGTTAAACTAGTCAACTAACAATATCTCATATGATGTTCATCTATTAATCAATCATATAGCGTGAGCCACATTCATAGTCAAGAGGAAACCTGTTAGTCATAGAAACACAGTCCTAAGTACTTACATATTGTTGTTTGAATCCATTGGCAGACACATAGAACAAGAACTAAAAAGCTGTTCATATCCTCTTATCCGGTTAATACAGGAAATCAGCTCCACAGAAATCATGTAGATCAATCTTTCCCAAATGGCTGGGTGCAGTGGCTCATGCCTGTAATCCCGGCACTTTGGGAGGCCAAGGCCGGAAGATCCCTTGAGCCCAGGAGTTTGAGACCAGCCTAGGCAACATGGCGAAACCTCGTTGCTACAAAATTTAACCACCTGTGGTACCAAGCTACTCAGGAGGCTGAGGAGGAGAATCACCTGAGCCCGGGAAGTTGAGGCTGCAGTGAGCTGTAATCATGCAGCTGCACTTCAGCCTAGGCGAAAAAGCAAGACCCTGTTTCAAAAAAAAAAAAAATATTCTTTCCTAAATGATATTCTGTAGAACATTAGTACTCTATGTATTGTTAGTAATACTAGGTGGTTTGCGAAGGGTTTGTATAGTTCAGTAGGATTCGGAAGCTGTAATGTTGGTGTGTTTTATGAACTTTCCAAGAGAAAGATACAATTTGAAGTGTTTCTTGAACTTATTTTACAACAGAACCTTTTATTTTGCAAAATACGTATTATCAACTTGAGGAACTCTAATGCTCCTCTGAAGCCAGTTTGGGAAAGACTAATGCAGACCTTTAGCATTCGTAAGTTTACTATTTTCAATGTTAGCTATTTATGAGAAGTTGCTCCATTGCTATAGTAATTTGTGATTCTGCAGGAGCAAAGGGGCACACCTGGGGAGTGAGTCACTCCTCTGATGAAGAATGAGCCCCGCCCACCGCCCACAACACACACTCCAACGTGGCATCCTCGTTTGCTGTTCATCATGAGGGAGTTTTTATAGTAACATAAATTTATTTAATTCCTGAAAATAAACCTGAAAAAAATGTTAGCTGTTGGTTCTGGAGAGGGAAATACACTAGAATAAGAAGAAAAAAAAGAGGAGGAGGTGGGGGAGAGATCTTAAAAAGTAAGTCTTAGCAAGAAAATAGATGTTTGGGGGTAAATTTTAAAGATAGTCTCCTAGATTTGTCAGAGAATTGGATCTAAATGTGAATACAGTCATCCTGTAGCCTATATGAAAACCATAAGAAGTGATTCATGAACTGTTTTAGTAAGAGATAAAATTTAGCAAGATAAAACATTATATATGCAACTGCTGACTGATACATAATTCAAGAGAAAGCCAGAAGCCTGGGCAGGTGTTTCTCTGAAGACACAGGTGGTAAAAACGTGCATGTGGTATAGTTTGCTTCTAGAATTTAAAGAAGAGCTTTCTTTACATACTATGATGTTAACAAGCGAGGAAAATGTGTCCTTAGCCACAGGAAACATTTCCTCCCGAGCTAAAGACTTCACAAAAGAAAATGTCTGAGACATAAATTTTATGTCTTAGGACACACAGAAAATTACAGAGGAAAAAAGTGCTGTGATTCACAATGATTCTCTTACAAGACTCTAAACTTGAGTTCTCCTTATTAACCCTTTCACACCCTGCTTAGGGATTTTTCTTCCATAATTAGCAAATTTTACCCAGAATCTAATATATGCCAGGTGGTGTGATAGTTAAAGAGGTTTTCAGTGTAAAGAAGCCAGTTCCCTGCCTGCGAGGAGCTCACAGCCAGCTCCCTGATTCACCTGCCTGCTCTCCCAAGGGTGAACCACTGTGAACTACTGCAGCCTGACTGATCTGCCATGAATAGGTTTCAATAATGTTCCCACCTAAAATGCCAACTCCATAAGGGCAGGTATTTAATCTATCTTGCTCACCTTTATATTTGTGGAATACATATCTATTGATTAAATGAACATTTTTAATAATGAATTTGAAAACAACCCGCATGTTTAAATATAGTGGAATGGCTAAGAGTCATTAACACCATGAAATACTAGGCAGCAATGAAAATAGAATTAAGTAATATTAAGTGGGAGAAACAGACAAGATAGCGCTATACCAACTATATCAGTTATGGACAATATTCTGAACTTGGCTTCTCTGGGTCTTTGCTCCCTGTATTTGGAATGGCTTTTTCCTGCCAATATCTGTTGATGCCATATCTCCTTAAGGCTCAGTTGAAGTACCACATCCTCCCTGAAGTATCAAGACTTCCACATCCCTCTGCCCTTAGAATCAACCTCTTTCTGTAGCATATGCTGGTAAGTCCCACTCTTTTTTTTTTTTTTTTTTTTTTTTGAGACGGAGTCTCGCTCTGTCGCCCAGGCTGGAGTGCAGTGGCGCGATCTCGGCTCACTGCAAGCTCCGCCTCCCGGGTTCACGCCATTCTCCTGCCTCAGCCTCCCGAGTAGCTGGGACTACAGGCACCCGCTACCACGCCCGGCTAATTTTTTGTATTTTTAGTAGAGACGGGGTTTCACCGTGTTAGCCAGGATGGTCTCGATCTCCTGACCCCGTGAGCCGCCCGCCTCGGCCTCCCAAAGTGCTGGGATTACAGGCGGTAAGTCCCACTCTTATGCCTCCAACTTTACCTTTACTACTTTGTCTTTGACTGAGGGCTTCCTCCACACCTGGGAGAGACCCCTCTGCTCACTTGCTTGACAGACCAAAAGCACTGACAAGTAATTCCCTCCAGAAAAGCCCCTGATGGAAGTTGGTAAATAAAGACCTCAGCCGCTTTGCTCCTTGGGTAGAATAACTCTAAGTTTGTCTCCATATTATTTCCCATGTTCCTCAGGGGATTAAGCTCCAGGCAGCCACAGTGGCAACTGGCCTGACAACACACCCCCTATTGGCCTTCTCTTACTCTTCCCATCCCCCTGCCTCCCTAACCTCCCAAACCAAACTGCCTGCTCTTGCATCCTAGTATAAAGATCATCTCCCCATCTGAGCTCCTTTGTTCCCATATTATGTCCCACATTATCCTCTGTATTGCAGGGTTTTGTGAATGTCTTGGCTCTCCTAACTAAACTGCAAACTGTTTGAGAGCAGAAACCTTTGATTGCTGTATTCCTCAAAGCCTAACAATGTACGTTGCACATAGCAGGTGCTTGAAAAAACTAGGTTTAATCAAACTGAGAATTTTTAGAAGAAAGACAGTATAGAAATCCAACACCGAAATAGTTCACAGCATTCTATGTGGCATTAAATAAATCGAATGATTTAAGCCAAGTTTTATGAATCATTATTATATATTGATTTCAAAATCTCATACACTACTGATCCAAGTTCAAAAAGAGACTTCAAGGTGAAGAATAGGTTGAATATATTTTAGCATTTTCTATTTGAAAAACATCAGCACCCATTGAGGGAATTTGAGCGGAGGAGATTTTAAGTGATTCGGTATCCCTCAACATGGTATTCAAAGACCGCTAGGGTCTAGTTCTCACCTCCTTTTCCAGCTTTATCTTTCATTCTGTTTCACTATTCCTGTGTATGACATTGTGTGATCTTCATGCAAATAATCTGTAATTCAAATTTATCTTTGCTTATTAATAAAACTGGCTAATGCCGCTGTGGACTTCATAAGAAAATTATCATTGTTTTAATATGAGCAATGAGAGACATGAGATGAGAGGGTGAAAAGACTCCAAGGAGAAAAAAAGACTTCTCCAGATAATCTCCTGACATTATTGTATTGTCTGAGTCTCCATGAAGAAACTGATTCAAATGTCTAGAAGTTTGATAACGTGATCTGAATTGGAATATGGTTTACTTGCCCTTTAAAGTTATTTTCAAGGTCTAATTCTGTGGCCTGTACTTTGAAGACAGACATCTTCAAGACACAAAAGGGCAGGGATACCACCTTTATGTCAGGTAAAATCATAGGCCAATAAATAATAAGCATCACTCTTAAGAAATTATACAAGTAATACTCATTCATGGCAGAAACATTGGTCAATACAGAGAACCAAAAAGAAGATAAAAACACAACAATTTAGGAGGATCAAAGCACTCCTAAAATTTTAGTGTACACTTTTCAGACTTTTTTATAGAGTATATTTTTACAGATAGAAAAATAGGCTCATGGTATACATATGATCCTTTTTTGATACTGAGTCTCGCTCTGTCGCCTAGGCTGCAGTACAGTGGCACGATCTCAGCTCACTGCAACCTCCGCCTCCTGGGTTCAAGCGATTCTCCAGCCTCAGCCTCCCAGGCAGCTGGGATTGCAGGTGTGTGCCATCATGCCCGGGTTATTTTTGTGTTTTTAGTAGAGATGGGGTTTCACCATGTTGGCCAGGCTGGTCTCAAACTCCTGACCTCAGGTGATCTGCCCACCTCGGCCTCCCAAAGTGCTGGGATTACAGGTGTGAGCCACCGCGCCTGACCTGATCCCTCCCTGTTTGCACAGCAATGTAACATGATGTTGCAGACACTACACACAGGGTCACTTAACACCCACTGACTCTTTGAACAAGGCTTCCTGTACTCCAGAGGCTAGACAGGTAAACATTTCTAAGACTCTCTTGCAGCTTGAGTTCCACACATAACATAATTTCCACCAAGCCCTAATGGAAGATATCCTGAGCCAGATTTGGAAGGCAAATAAGCAGCACAAGGGGCTGGCATGGTCAAGGATGGCGGATCTAGTAGCTGAAGTAGAAGGTCTACTCTCAGGCCCTAGCATAGTAGATGTTAAGAGGCAAGTATAGGCATCAGCTGTGCCACTCTGGCGTCAGGCACTGATCCTGACTCTATAGCACCATTTTTCTCCTTGCTCTTCTTGTACTTTCTGTTATCTTCCACTAAGAACCCTGATGGATACATGTGACCACTTTCCTTGTCAAAAAATATGTGACATACAATTGCTACTAGTGGAATCATAGAATCCTAGAGCTGAATGGGACCTGAGTGATCAGCCAGACTTAGGAAAATTAAGCTTAAAGAAGTTAAATGACTCATCCGAGGCAAGACCACATGTACATCTCCCCATTCCCACTCTGTATAAGGAATTTATACCAACGTTATGTCCCAAAAAGGAGGTGGGACAAAATGGCAGCCTGGCTGTTCTCTAAGTTAGAGTTTGGTATTTTTGTGTTAGCATAATGTAACATGCTCATCCATCATCTGGCAGGCTTTAGCCCCAAGAGGATCATCAAAATGTGATGCCCTTTAAATGTGTTTGTGTCTTCTTGGCATCCACCTCATGCCACACCCCTACCTTCTCTCAGCAGAGGCCCCAACCCCAGCCCTCCTCCCCTGGTTCAAGACCAGCTCGGATTCTGCATGGTACTCTTACTTGTCTTAGACTTCATCTTAGTCAGCTATGCTGGGGAGGTCTCCTCAGATTGGAAAGATTTATGTTCGGTTTGCTGAAAGACTTGCTCCCAAGGAGCTATCAGTCTTTTAGTGTCTTTAAGCAAAGGTACTTTCTTCACTCTTCTAGTATAACAGGAAAGGATCATTGCTAAAAGGCCACGTTCTGCAGTGGAAAGAGTGTGAGGTTTGGATCCAGACTGGATTTGAATCCCAGTTCTGCCACTTACTAGCTATGTGGCCTTGGACAAGTTATTCAATTTCCATGAGTTTCACTTCCCTCACATGTCAAATGGAAAGAAAGATAATCACCTTACAAGGACAAGAAAACAATATTCCTACATGTTTAACATGCAAGGAACATTCAGTCAATAGTCATTGCTATTTGGTTGAAACACATGTTGGCTTGAAGAACAGCCAATGGCGTGTACTTTGACCCTTTCTCATTTATAGTTTTTCAGCTGAATTTGGATGGATGATCACTCCACGATAACCCAATACCCTTCACAGAGGATACAGATCATTTTGCAAGTCTGTGTGTGTGTATGTTTGTACATACACATATATGTACGTGTGTGTACTTATATATGTGTGCACACATACACACACACACCACACACACGGTATTTGAGCTCATACCCAGCCACTAACAGGTCAGTGGAGTTTGGTTCTGCAGTAGCACTCTGAACTCTTACAATTGAAGTGAACACAGGAACAAATAAATCAGCAGCTTGAGTCTTTGTTTGTTTGTTTGTTTGTTTTTTGAGACAGAGTCTCACTCCATTGCCCAGGCTGGAATGCAGCAGCTTAATCTTGGCTCACTGCAACCTCTGCCTTCCAGGTTCAAACAATTCTCATGCATCAGCCTCCTGAGTAGCTGGGACTATGTAGCTGGGACTACGGGCGTGCACCACCACACCTGGCTAATTTTTGTGTTTTTAGTGGAGACAAGGTTTTGCCATGCTGGCCAGGCTGGTCTAGAACTTTTGGCCTCATGTGACCCGCCCGCCTCAGCCTCCCAAAGTAATAGCTTGAGTCTTTAAACGTATAACATCATTTAAGAATTAGGTATGGGAATTAGGTTCCCACAATCTTTTTGAAACAGCAGAAGTAAAAACTGTTTAAAGTAAAATCTAAGCCAGCACTCCTTAAAAACATGTAAATACAGGATTTATACAAGCTTTTTTTTTTTAAAGGCATTAACCTTTTTCCCATAGCTTAACACTGTTCTCATGAGGTGAGAGCTACAGACGTGACAGTTTGTATTTTCTTTTACAAGAAAAGTTTTATTTTATGAATGATTTTTAATCCCGTATGTGAGGATTACACAAAAATCCTGGCAGGCATATGCCATAAATGATTAACTGCCAATCAATTATAGCATTATGTATTGTTTCCAGAATTTCGTTCTTGACATCATTTCCCAGAGAAATACACAGACACACACACGCACACTGTTTTAAGTGGAAATTTTTATGAGGTTTTCTCTGGAGATGCTCAATGATCAAGATATATATACGGAAACGTCATTAACTACATTTAAGATAAAATATACACTTAATTTTTAATTCCTGAATAAATGGATGGATGAGTATACATTCATTCATTCATTCATTCGTTTATTTATTTATTTTGAGACAGAGTCTTGCTCTGTTGCCTAGGCTGGAGTGCAGTGGCAGGATCTCGGCTCAGCACAACCTCTGCCTCTCAGATTCAAGCAATTCTCCTGCCTCAGCCTTTTGAATAGCTGGGACTACAGGTGCGCACCACCAGGCCCGGCTAATTTTTGTATTTTTAATAGAGATGGGGTTTCACCATGTTGGCCAGGCTGCTCTCAAACTCCTGACCTTATGTGATCCACCTGCCTCGGCCTCCCAAAGTGCCAGGATTACAGGCGTGAGCCACTGTGCCCAGCCTACATTTATTTTTATGTAATCTTTAGCAAGGATTTTGGAATCTATGTAAAAGTTAGAAAGTAAACACATATATATATATTTATAAAATGGTATATCTTATCACAAGTGAGATAATAAAAAACATTGTTTAACGCATCCTCTGTTGCTCACATTACAGTTTTTTAGGGGAGAAACTAAGCTTTCTAGTGGTGGTAGCTTTCAAAATTTCTTTCCATTTCTCATCAGAACAGTAGCTAGAGACAGAAGTTAACATTTGTGAGAAATTTCAGAAGTGTCATCCTTCTAAAATATTTCATTCTGTGCATGTATACACAATCATATGTTTACTCAATGTTGTCCAATTACTAAGAGGTCAAGTAGGGTAAGGACTGAAAAATAGCAGTTGGGGGTTTGGCAATTAGGAACTCTCCAATGACCACAGTGAGAGTCTCAGTATCTCTAACGAGGTTGCAGTCAAAGTGTCAGCCAGGGCTGGAGTCATTTCAAAGCTTGACAGTACTGTACTGTAATATCTCCTTCCAAGCTCACTCATATTTTTGTTGGCAGAAGGCTTTAGCTCCTCTGGGACTGTTGGCCACAGGCCACTGTTCTTAACTGCTTGAGTGTCCTCCTGACATGGCAGCTGGCTTTCCCCATAGCAGTGATGAAACACACACACACACACACACACATGTTGGCAGGATGTTGGAGATGGGGGAGGATGGATAAAAGAAAAGGGTGGGGGAAGAATGAGGAAAAAGTTGTCACAAAGCGTTTTTTGACTTAGTCTCAAAATCATGCACTTCATTCTATTTTCTAGAAGCAAGGCACTAAATCTAGCCCGCACCCAAGGGTAAGGGCATGAATTAAATTCTACCTGTTGAAGGGGGGAGTAACAAAGAATCCATGGACATGATTTTAAGCCATCACAATCTGTTGGGAGTCCTAACTGCAAGTAACAGAAAATCCATCTCAAAATGGATTAAACAGCAATGGGGACTCATTGGCTCCCATAATGAAAAAGCCCTGCAGGTAGGTAAACTTGGTGAATACTTGTTCAGAGCTCTGTTTTCTCTGTCCTCTTGTCTGTGTCAAGTCATCCGTGGCCAGGTTCCTAGCAAAAATGACTGCAACCACTCTAAGGCCTCCTCCATGCACATAGCACATTCCAGAATAGGCTAGCTTGGCTCTGACTCCGCACCCCAGCAGAGTTCTGAGATTCACTCTAATTGGATGGGCTTAGGTCACGTGCTTACCATCCCCAAGCCGGGGCCTCAAATGCCTTGACTGGATCCAGTGCTCCACCCTGAAACAGGACCATGAACTCACATGCCTGAAACCACACAGAGAGGAATGGATGCTACAGAGGCAATCACAAATACCTACTACACGACTCAGGGATATTTATGTCAGCTTTTAAAAATACGGGGTGAGCAGAATTTTTGTCATTTGAAAGGAAAGAAAGCAATAGAGCCTGAAATTGAACAGCAAGGGAGTACAATCACGTGCCACATGAAGATTTTCAATCAACAACAGATCACAAATATGAGGGTGGTCCTGTAACACTACAATACTGTGTTTTTGCTGTACCTTTTCTATATTTAGATATGTTTAGATACACAAATACTATTGTGTTGCCATTGCCTGTGGTGTTCTGTACAGTCACATGCTGTACAGGTTTGTAGCCCATGAGCAATAGGCTATACCTTAGGCCATATGGTGTAGGTTTGTGTAAGTATACTCTACAATGTTGGCATAATGGTAAAATTGTCTCATGATGCATTCCTTAGAACCTGTTCCCATCACTAAGTGGCACATGACTGTATAACTAAAAAATGCCAAAGAAATGGATCAAAAGCCTAGGCAGAGTGGACACTGTTGGTAGGGAGTGGGAGAACCATTTGCTCCTCCAAGATCAGGGACAGCAAGTACAAACATAGGAGAAAACATGGAAGCTTCGAGGCAAAGTGGAGGAAGGTTGAGGAAATGTTGGTGACTGGCTGTGAATGTGAATGAAGGAGAAGAAGGTGATGTCACCAGCTGAAAAAGAGGGAGAAAAGTGAGATAAAGGAATTAAGGGGTTAAGATAAGATGGATAGAATATGCTGTCTGGGAAGTTAATGGTGTCTTTCTTACTAGTAGAACTAGAAAAACTCTGCTATAATATGAAAGCAGAAGCAGAGCTCAAAAAGATAGAAAGCTCTGGTTGAAAAGAAGAAATAAATAACATCATAATAGAAGATAATAGCACTGAATGAAAATAATGC
Source organism: Homo sapiens (assembly GCF_000001405.40). Lineage (NCBI taxonomy): Eukaryota > Metazoa > Chordata > Mammalia > Primates > Hominidae > Homo > Homo sapiens. The sequence continues at coordinate 76,882,339 of NC_000012.12, read as the reverse complement.
CTACTGGAGAAAGAGAGTTAGGAAATGAAGCAAGTATAAGAAAGTAGGAGTTTATAGCAGGTTAAAAAAAGCAACTATGACAAATATCAAGAATAAGATACTCTAATCTACCTTCCAACATTTAAGCATATATCACTTACATTATTCTTTTCTCTGTCAGATAATAAATCACAGAGTATTAGGGTTAAGTATGAGTAATTTTTAATTCCCACAACTGCTGCTAAATCTTAGCTAAGAAATAAGGTAGAAAAACTGCTTCTTTTTGTGTTATTAAATGTGTAGGTTAGCAAAGTGCAAATTGTTTCCCTTTTTTTCATACTAAAATCATTATAATAAGACATTCCTCTTCACTATAGCTTTCTTGCCTTCTGGGAAGAAAGCCTTGCCCTAAAATAAAGAGGCTTTGTGTTTAAATTCACATTCATCTGATTCAGAGTTTTGTTAAGAAAAAGGGGCATGAAATAAAAATAATAAAAATATTTTTAAAATCTACGTTTGAAGCACAAGGTCATGACAAAAGGCAACAACCTTGGTTCAACTTGCCTTAGGACAGTGACCTTGAGAGAGGGCTTTGATTTGAAATTGGTTGATGAATTCCAGAGAATAGAGTTGTTACAAGTATAATACACATTTTGAGTGGGAAAAAGAAATAGCCTGCTGGACACATTTAACCTTTGATTCTGCCTATTACAAGGTTGAAGGGGTCAAACAGACTAGGACCATGTGGACTTAAGGGTTTATCCTTCTCCTTGAGGACACATTTTTCCCACTATCCTTCTGCAGGCGCGCAGATGCTTCCTACTGAAGACTCTTAATTGTTTTGGAAAACACTCCATACCTTCTTAATAGCAAGCCCTCAAGAAGGCAACATGAGTACTTAGCAAAGCACAATTTTATTTCTTTCTTGAGAGGCAAAAAGGACATCAAGATATCTTTGCTTAACATAACAACCATCAATTATTCAGTATTTACCATGTGCCAGGTGCTATGTTTGGCATTTTACATACATCACCCAATTTAATCCTCATAACAACACTACAAGATGTGTAGAATTATCTTTTTACAGATAAAGAAACAGATGCATAGAGGTCAAGTACTTAGCCCAAGCTTACAAAACTGATAGGTGGCAGAGCTGTATGTTGAAATCATGTGTGTTTGATTCCAAAGCCCATACTCTTTCTTTTGCACCACTCTGTCTAAAAACTCTTAAATAATTTCTTCATGTTCATAACTAAAAGAGTCAACAGTTTAAATAGATGTTTAAAGAAAATAAATATTTTTTAAATGTTGATAAATACAAATACAGATTTGTTCAAAATCACACGTTGTATATCATCTGCAGACTCAGTGTGAAGTACACGGAGACAAACACATACAGGGACAGACAGCAGAAACACTTTTAGGTCAGAAACAAGCCCAATTTCTTTTTTGTTTTGTTTTGTTTTTTTGAGACGGAGTCTCCCTCTGTCACTCAGGCTGGAGTGCATTGACGTGATCTCCACTCACTGCAACCTCCACCTCTCAGGTTCAAGTGATTCTCCTGCCTCAGCCTCCAAGTAGCTGGGATTACAGACATGTGCCACCACGCCCGGCCAACAAGCCCAATTTCAAATGATAAGACATGGCTATGGAATTTAGGGACAACATGAGCTTGACGGAAAGCAAACAGCTCAGGTTTGGGAGGCCCCTTCCACAAAGAGGCATTGAGAAGAACTCAGGGTAGGAGAGAAAGGGCAGTGGTTTGCTGCAGTGAGACTCACTGATACAGTTTCATTCAGTAGAAGCACTAGGCAAACTTATACAAGAAAAAATAAACATTGTAAGCAGCTGAGCTAAAGCGAATGTAGAATCTGAGGGACTGAATTTTCCTGTTGGCCCGTGAGTCAAGTCACTTACACTAGCTGATATCACTGAAATAAGGATTGCCCATATTTAGAAAAGCTCACAGCAGGCAAGAATGCTTTCCAGACTCCTGCCACAGTATCAGGAGATGTCAATCACCACTATGTGTTTTTGGACAGTACTTGGTGGACAGAGAACAAGGCAGCTATAATGAGTTTATCCTGGATTGGCCCCAGCATATAAAATAAAACAATAATAATATTATAAGTCGGTTCTGTACGTTGTCATGCGGATATGTGCTCCCTGCCCTCTCCCCAAGAGGGCATTTGGCAATGTCCAGAGACTTTTTGATTGTCACAACGTCGGGGGCAGGTTGCAACTGGCATCTAGTGGGTGGAGGCCTCCTACAATGCACAGGACAGCCCCCTACAATAAAGAATTATCCAGCCCAAGATGTCAATGGTGTGGAGGATGAGAAACTCTGGACCAGAGGAGGCAATAGCATTTATGGCATGAGGGGGTTTTGGTCACTGACTTTTTTGAACTCCCCACTCCGCAAGTATCAGTTCTCCGGGATCATTGCTTCTGGCAGGAGAGGTCATGAGGAGGCCTAGAATATGAACCAGATAGAGATTGCATTGTTTATTTTCCTTTTCATCTAAAACAATAAATCATCCTGTAGCTTAGGCATTAGGTCCCTTCGGATGTCACGGTATCCTTGTGCTTTTCTGACATCAACACATATAAATACAGGGCCTGTGGCGCCCGGGGTTTCTGCCTGGGTTTAGGTTTCTTCCCCCTCAGCATCGCGTGCTGTGCCCTGGTGGAGGGGAAGAGCGAAACACTTTGGGAATGGGGCGTTTTCGTAACGTCATTTATTTAGTCTAGATGAATTTTGCTCTTTAAGAATAAGAAGTTGTGGATTCCCAGAAGCTGGAAATCGGACGAGAGAATATGCGTTAACTAGGGAAGTTAATCACGTTGAGTTTACTGACAAGGACAAGGCAAGGGGGAGGTGGCGGAAAGCCCCGTTTGGCTGACTTTCTACTGCTGGAGCCTCCCGGCCCATGACTGTCTCCGCGAAGAGGGGGATCGGCGCTCGCGGTGGACAGGTCCGACGCAGGGCGGCGGGGGCCACTTTCCAGCGGGACCGTCCCGCCGCCGGGCCTCCCTGGAGGGGAAGGAAGTCCCTCTCCAAGTCCCAGTGGCTTTTGGAACTGCCGGGTCCCTTTGGGAGGGAGCGGTCCCGGGACGTGGGAAGATGCCGGGCGGGCGGGAAGCTGCAGGAAGAGGCGGGCCTCCTGCCTTTTGTCTCCTGGTGGCTAGCCCGGAGCGGGCAGAGGGCAGCCCGCCCGCTACACGCCCCAGCCCGGCAAGCGGCTCCGGGAATCCGGCGGGCGGGGCTGGGAGGAGGGCGGGGCGGACACAGGCCGCGCCCACCGAGCGCTCTTTAAAAGGCACCGGCGCGCGCTTCGCCTGGGATCTCGGACTCCCTGGACCCTCCCTCCAGCCCAGCCTCGCTAGCTCCGCCTGCGGTACGTGCTCCCGCCTCCGACTCAAGTGAGTAGGGGCGGTGGGGCGGTTCCGCGGCGCCGCCAACCCCGGGGCGGGAGTTGCAGGGGGTTTCCACCGCCTCCCGGGGTCGTGCTGTCGCCCGGCCGGCGCGCCCCGGTCTCCTCCGACATCCCCATCCCGGTCCGCATTTGTGCCCCTGCCAGCCTTCTCATCCCTGCGCCCCAGATTTTCTCTCTCTTATCCCCCAAACACACCTGCCCTTGTCCCCGAGGCCGTCCAGGCCATGCCCTGGGATCCCAGGCCCGCGGGGCAGGTAAATAATCTTATATGACCTTTAATTTCTCCATACTGGTTTCTCTGGGAGAGAGGCGGGTTGTGAGTTTCGCGTTTCTGCTAATCCGCCTCTTAGCAGCCGTCGGTCCCCTCGTCCAGCGGCAGGCTCTCTCTGGGGTGGGGGTCGGAGTCTCAGGGCCCCCTCTGCCCGGAGTGTGGTGAGCACCGAGGGCGACCTTACTGGGTTCTGTCCCCTAGGGGTGGAATGGGGCTTCTACATCCCCCCGAGCCCAGGGTACTGCTCCTGCCGCCGTACCGGGCTCCTGGCATCCCCATTGTTTGGTGGTGTCTGCCCACCCAGCACCGAACCCCTCTATGTTGAAGGAACAGCAGGGAATGTCAATCACTTACTCCTAGCTTTTTCCAGAACTTTCTACGATTCAGGTACAAAGAAGAATGCAAGAATGCTTGGTTGTGAAATTATGCGACAGGTCCTGCGAATCACATTCTGGGTTCTCCAGAGCCAGATTCAGGAGCTCCACGTAGGCACCCCCTGGGGGCGGGGGCGGGCTTTCTAAACCGGCGGATCCCTTTCCCCCTTCTAAGCCAGGACATTTGTTAAACGATTTTTACTTAAATGGCTACCCAAAATGTTTAACCTGTTTTATTTGCAGTCTGCAAACCAAGCACATTTTCCCTTTATAAATGCTTTTCGGTACAGAATTTTTTTTGGGGGGTGGGGGGGTGGGGCGGGGGCAGTTAGTAATTTTTTAACCCGGGCAGCGAAAATCGTCGTATTTAGTTCTTGACTTTTCCAATTAACCTGTTTTAAAACTCTCCTCATAAAATGCCAAGAATTCAAATAGGACAGCCACAAAGTTGGCTGTACTTTGACTCACGTTTTTCAAGAAAGAATTGGGTGATAGATTTTGAAAGGGAGAATCTAACATAGTTTCAGAACTGCATGCCAAGCTACAAAGAATGTTGTGAAGTACTAAGTGGTCTCCCCCAGTACTCCTGGGGTCATCGCTCTCGTCCATTGTCACTGATACTTTGTCAGTATTTCTCTGGGTCCTTTCTCCTCTGCATTGTAGTTTTCTTTGCTCTTTTGGTTCTGTGTTACCTTTGAGACCAGACCTGCATCACATGAGTCTTTGAAACTCACAGTGCTTGCTTGGGTACCTTGGACAATTGACTGAAAGAAGGAGCGAATAAGGTTGTGATTATAGGGAACAAAAATATAATTTGACTCACACAATAGGTATTTGTTTGCAGATTTGATCTAAAGTTCGTATCATAAATTTTTAATGCATTTCTCCGAATGTATTTAACAAATATTGATTGATACTGGTATAGGCTAAGTACTGTGCTGAAAGCAGTACTTGCTGGAGGCCTGTCCTGATGAAATTGCAAAATCACTTGGATTTGGGGGAGATTGAATTTTATCCTAAAACAGCAAGAATGTTGGTGTAGAGTAGAGGACAGCAATAAATGAGGAGTTTTAGAAGCCTGAGTCCAGAGGCAACTCTGACACTAAATTGCTATAGTGATCTGGGTCTCTAGGTTTTCTTCTTTGTCAAAAGTGAGGTGAATCAAATGAACCCCAAAAGGGAGCCCCCTATGGGAGAGGAGGCATGGCTGAAAGGGGGAGGAACGAAGCCAGGCAGGACCAAATTCACACCTCAACTCCAGTACCCATTGGTTTGATGCCCTTGGGCAAATTAACTTTACTCTTTGGCCTCAATACTTCATCATGTAAAATGGGTGTAGTGGCACATGCCTTGCAGGGTTGTCATAAGGCCTGTTGATACTTGTACAAAGCCCAGCCCAGCCTGGGAGTAGTTCCTTGTAATTAGACAAAGTTGTGCACTTGGTTGAATATATGTGGGAAAAGGCTATCAGTGAAAGTCTGTTTCAGGAGAGAGCTGGCTCACACCTGAAGAGCGTTTCCTAGACCTTGCCTGGAGGCCAGCTTTCTTCTCTGTGCAGATGTTCACAGGTTTCCTCAAGGCACCTTACCCTGACTGCCAGCATGCCATCCCTTGGGTTCTGTTGGGTGGGGATCCCCAGACACCTCTGGATCTTTGATTACCTAGGTGGGGTTTCTGACTTTTTATATCATGGCACTCCTGTGAGGCCTCCAGACCCCTTCTCAAAATGACGTAACATAAAGTATGTGGTACCAAGTTCCCCAACCCCCAGAATTAAAAGGAATTGTGGCCTTTGGGTTAAGAATCCTGAATTAAGGGAATATTTCTCAGTCTGGATAGTGGAGAAGCTGGGCACAATTTCTTTTTTTTATATTTTTTCCTTTTCAAATTCCTTTTTACCACAGGCACAATTTCTGATTGTTAAAAATTTTATTGTTGTAAGTCACAGAGGAAGAACTAATAGAAGTACATGGTGAATGATCTGGAAAGGATATCAGGTTCCTTGTTTTTTTGTTTACAATCTTATTGTGCCAACAATACTATTGTCTTCGACTAATAAGAACAGACACCATGTAATACATTAGGGCCAAATTACTTCCCAGTTCACTATAGGAAAGAGGGCTTCATGGTGGTTTCACAGTACTTCCAAAAGAAAATAAGCAGAGAGAATTGAATCCTCATCCAGCACACGGCAGTGCAGGAACTACTCAGCTTAAGAAGAACCTATGCCATAGCCATGGAGGTCGGTACTACATCTGTATTGCTACCAGGGGTTTAGTTTAGCAAAACATCAGTGAAATAATTTTGAATTGGAATTTTATTGGTATTCATTTTTAAGTTGAATTGATAATTTTATTTTGGTTTCACAGTTATGAGTCATTTAATAGCTCTATGCCTCAGTTTCCCCACTCATAAAATGAGAATAGTGGTAGTGCTTACTTTAGTTGTTATGAGGATTAAATGAGGTAATATAAACATAAGTAAAGCATATATTAAGCTTTATAGAAGTATTTGTAATTATTACCTGTCATGTGGCAGACACTATTCTAGGTGTTTTGCATATATTGTTTAATCTAAAAACTGCCTTATTGTATAAATAAGCATTGTCCCCATTTTTAAAATGAGAAAACTAGCAGATCAAATGAACAACCTGTGATCATTTGGCAAATAAACAAGAGTCTCAGCATATATATCTAGGTCTGATTCCATGAAAAAATCGTGCAAATATTAAATTGTTTGAATAATTAAATAACTTGTAGTTTTGCACAGATTGTGGATTGCTATGGCAGATGTTGGGGATCAGGGTTACTGAGCTTATAGCATAGTTGCATTTTAATTACAATATGGGATTTGGCAGATAGTGATTCAAATCTGTGTCGAATTTTGCTGCACTCTAAGTTGAAGACACGAGTGGTAGCAGAATACAGAAGTAGTAAGAATGGTGAGGCTGAGGTACACACAGGAGTGTTCACTAGATTAGAAGAGAGTTTTCCTTCAGTGGGGTTAGATTTAGGTTAGCAGAGAGGGGTAATAAAAAGCTTTTTGGTTGAAAGTAGCAGTTTGGGTGTGAGAGTGGTGCACAGAGACCACTTACTGACCGCTAGTTGGATGGAGAGGAAGGTGTGTAATTTGTGTGTGTAATTTGGTAACTCAAGGATTGAGAATTCTCAGGTCATTTGAATAGTCTCAACCCTTAATGTTCTGTGCCTGTCAGATATGGGAGTTTTGAGGAAAGCTTGTGGTTCTGGAATCAAAACATGAGCCTGATTTGTTTCTTTGGAGATCTGTGACCTCAGCAAGTCACCCAACTCATCAGTCCCCATCCTTTTTGGCACCAGGGACCAGTTTTGTGGAAGACAGTTTTTTCATGGATGGTGGGTGGATGGTTTTGGCATGAAATTTTGGGATGAAACTGTTCCATCTCAGATCACCAGGCATTAGATTCTCGTAACGAGTGGGCACCTAGATCCCTCACCTACACAATTCACAATAGCGTTCCCGCTCCTATGAGAATCTAATGCCTCTGCCGATCTGACAGGAAGCAGAGCTCAGGTGGTAATGCTCGCTTACCCTCCACTCACCTCCTGCTGTGCAGCCTGGTTCCTAGCAGGCCACAGACCAGTAGCAAGTAGCCTGAACACAAAACACAGCCATCGGTCTGTGGCCTGGGGGTTGGAACCCTTGACCTAACGGACTGAACTTGGTATATTCAGGCCCCGAGTGCTCCTAAAGGAAAAGGAAGCCCGCCCATTTGTGGAGTACAGGCTCTTTGCCAGGTACTTTACAAACTTTATCTCATTAAATCTTTACAACCGCCTATAAGATAGTTCTCATCCATTTCCAAGTTACCTCTGAGGAAGTTAAGGCTCAGAGGTTAAGGAAATTTGGCCAGGATCACATAGCTGATAACTAGCTTTGACAACCAGCTTGTGTCTATCTGATTCTAAGCTCCGCACTGTTTCTTTTATATCTGGCATGTCTAAAAGGTGGCATGTGTACTGCGGTATTTCCATGGCAAAAATAATTAATCACAGTTCTCTTGATTGTAGAACCTGGACTGAATTTCAGAATCTTTCTCAACGTAGTTCCAGGAATCCACTCTCAGTGGATCTGCAAGATGAAACTGTTTTGTCATGCCTGTGAAAGTAAATGGTGCAGACCTTCAAAAGCCCTTTTTGCATGCCTCTGTGTCATTTATTATATTGCTATTGTTTGTCCACATGTTTTTACCACCTCAGTAGAACTCTGTGCAAAACGGGCCTTTCCTTATGACCCATTTATCCTCAGCCCCCTAACCCAGTACCTGGCTTATGAAATACTGTTGAATTAATACATTTATATGAGAGCTTCATAAACAGTAAAGCATTATGCAGTGCTTATAAGCTGCCTCTACCCTAGAAAAATTACTTGAGATACAGAAATGAAGTTAGCTGGATGGAACGGAGGTAAGGCAGTTGCCTTGATGGGGAGGGTTTGGGGGATAAGGAAGGAATAGATATGTGAGATGGTAGGGCAAGATGAGTATTGATAACAAAGGTTAGAACATTGCTAAATATTGATACTATCATTTGAGTCCCCACTATGCAAGCGTTACCTCATCTATAACTCTATAAAGATGGTACTGTTCTTAACTCTCTAAAAAAGGTACTGTTGCCCTAAGTTTACGGATGAGAGAAATGACACTTCGTGGACTCCAAACGCGTGTTCTTACTTTGCCCTTATGCTGAACTGACTTAAAGGCCAGGTTGAGGATTTGGCTTCAGTAGGAGGAGCCAAATGGAGTACGGAGCTGATCACTAAGACATGAAGAGTTCATCCTTGGTTCAGTGGTATTCACTTCCGTAAGAGAAGTAGACTAAGTGGGTAGTTGGGGTAACAGAAGAAAAAATTTGTAGAACAGGCATCAACTGAAAGCTTAATTTCCAATTAACTACAGCTGTCAAATCCTGGTCTTGCTAAAAAGTCATCGTAACGGGACAGTGCTACTAACTTACATTCTTTAACAAGTGACTCCCCCTGGATGTGGCTCAAGATGAGACTGTATTTTATAATAAATTCTCCTTTAGGGGAAATTGGATTATAGTCAGGTTCTAGTGTAATAACAAGGCCCTACATGTAGTAATAAAATGTCAAAGCTTCTGGAGGCATTTAGAATCTGGGCAAATATAGAATATAGACTAATTCAATCCAAACTTTTAGTTTCAGGGCAGATAACTTAAACTTTAAATGGTAACATATAGATTTGAATTTCATAGATTCAAGTCATTCTGATTCTAAAGTAAGACAGTAAATGCGGCACTAATGGTATGAGAATGGCCCAGGTAGTCAGCTCTTGATTATCATACGGCTCTGATGAGTGCAGGAACACAAGGGTTCTTGATCCTGCCGCCGGTTTAGATAAAACAACACGGACACACGTGGAGTGGTTTTAAGGAGCGGAGAGTTTAATGAGCAAGAAGGAAGGGAGAAGACAGAAGGAAGAAGCTCCCCGGTACAGAGACACAGGGAGGGGGGCTCCAAAGCCCAAAGAGGAGGTCCCCACCTGCAATGGATACCAGCCTGGTATATATGCAAAGACTGGAGGAGGCGATGTCTGATTTACATAGGGCTTAGGGGATTGGTTTGACCAGGCATGTCATTCACGTAGCCCAAGAAAAAGCTGGCCCTCACACCCTAGCTTTTTAGTATGCAAATGCAGGGCGCCATGATGTTCCACACACGTGGGGATATGTGGAGGCTGCCCTGTCACCAGGCACAGGTGGGGCATTTGCATGGCCCACATGGCCTGCATTTGCATATCAAAGGTTGCTGGCCTGGCTCTAAGAGCCAGGGCTTTACAAGAAACTTTTCCAGAGATGCTTTAAAAAATGAAAACTTCCCAAGGACCCCTTTTCCTCTCTATCTGCCTAAAATAATTTCGTAATAACTCCTACCACAGTTATCTAGAGAGTGAGCTAACTGTACCATAAGACGACTCAGACTTAGACTATATCAGTTTTTCCGCATGGGTGAGTCTTATGAATTTTGGTGGCATCTTAGGCTAAGAAGAGGTAGCAAGGAGAAATTGCACATAGGTGTTCAGATATAAATCACGTTGTAACATGTAATACAGTGGATAAATCCTAGTGCTGGAACTCTTTCAGACACTGAAAAACAAGGAACAAGACTGAGAAACAGAATTTGCCCTATTTTATCACATGTAAAGTGGGATTTTATTTTTGCTTTTACCATTCTGTAAATTAATGCCTAGGATTTGGGAAAGGCATGCAGCCCAGATTGCTTAGTGCAAATCCAGTTTGCTGTGATTAATGGCAGCTGTAGTGGAGTAGTACGGCCAAAGGCTTGTAAGAAAAATGAAGACTTGCTTTTTTTTTTTTTTATGCACAGCAATGCCAAGAGTGACAGAAATGGAAGATCATCATACTTCTTCCAGCCAAATTCAGGAAATGTCCATTAGAGGTTCAGCCTAAAAGTGCAAATTTGAACTTCGTTTCTTTTCTTTTTTTTTTTTTTTTGAGTCGGAGTCTTGCAGTTTCACCCAGGCGGGACTGCAGTGGCACTATCTCGGCTCACTGCAAGCTCCACCTCCTGGGTTCACGCCATTCTCCTGCCTCAGCCTCCCGAGTAGCTGGGACTACAGGCACCTGCCACCGCGCCCGGCTAAGTATTTTTAGTAGAGACGGGGTTTCACCGTGTTAGCCAGGATGGTCTTGATCTCCTGACCTCGTGATCTGCCCGCCTTGGCCTCCCAAAGTGCTGGGATTACAGGCGTGAGCCACCGCATCCGGCTTGAACTTTGTTTCTTAGACAGTCACCACCATATGTGGAACTGTTGCTTTACTTTGGAGTGCATTTTAATGTCCCCAAAAAAGAAGGTTTATAGTGACCAATCAGCTCAGTTTTGTCCTTACCTTGTTTGTTGCTCTGCAGCTATGTTCTAGGTGCTGGTTGGTGGGTTTTCCTACTAGAGTACTGATAGCAGGCTGGATAGAGTGAGATGTCCCCTCTGTCTTCAAGCTGACAGCTACTGGATTCCTGCCAAGGCATTTGCTTACCTTATCTTGCCTTCACAATATTTCTGTGGGTAGAGAGAGCTACCTATCCCCATTTTTAGCTTGAGAAAATGAAGCCCAAGGTTGCGCAGCTATTATAACGGTGGAGTTAATCCAGGTGTGTTTAAACCAGTCAATCAACTTCCTCTCCCTCCTTCCATTATGAAATAGTTCAGACATACAAAGTAGAGAACAATATAAGGAATATTCAACTATCACCATCCACTTTTTTTTTTTTTTTTTTTTTTTTTGAGACAGGGTCATCTTGCTCTGTTGCCCAGGCTGGAGTGCAGTGGTGCAATCATAGCTCACTGTAGCCTTGACATTCCCAGCACAAGCAATCCTCCCACTTCAGCCTCCCAAGTAGCTGGGACCAGAGGTGTGTGCCACCATGCCTGGCTAATTTCTTTTTAAATTTGTTTTAAATATAGGTAATATAGCGTCTCCCTAAATTCCAAATTCCAAAGTGTTGGGATTACAGGCATGAGCTACCACACCTGGCTCCCTAACCATCTTAAAAAAAAAAAAATGTAAATCCAACTGAAGCTTTCTGACAATGTTCTTTTGTTACATCATTTCCCTCTATCACAGAAAAGGTTATTCAGAAATCCTTAGGAAAGCCCTTAAGCTGGATAGAACTGCAATATTTTGATATATGCAAATACTCTGATAGATGGTGTGGAGAATACAGAGATGTGGTCCCCACCATCAAGGGACCAGAAACTTATTGCACAGTAAGTTGAATGTTGTGGAACTTTGATAGGTATTTCCTGAAAAGCTGACACATTTACGTTTGGCTGGTGCAGTTAACTTAGAATAAGTAAGTTTAAAGAAACCCTGAATTACATAAAGAAAGGGAAGATATTCCTTCTTTCTTAAAAATCCAGGCTGTTCTTCAATGGTATGGAAGAGAATAACAAGGTTATTAGTTGGGTTTTCCTTTTAATGTATTTTTAAGTGTTATTCAAAGACAGCCTAGTCTAGCCTCAGTCGTGATAGCAATCTGGCTCCTTACTGGTGATTGCTCCAAAGTAAATATGTGTGAAAATGAAAAATACCAAGTTGGTATTAACAGTTCACTTTCTAATATGAGAAATGTTTCAATGATAGAAATGCCTCGACAACAACAAAGTATTTTAAGAACCAGTTGATAACTTGGGATCCAATATAAGTAATTGTAGTGTCATTACCTGGAGGCCTGGATTTGGCCTTTGGTTCTGCAGGAATCATGAGGGAACTTCCAGCAGATGTCTGTTGCATCCATGAGCATTCAGAATACAGGTAGCTTTGGAGGCAAGGGGCAAGGTCAGTTTCTCTAACTGTACTACAAACACGGGTCAGTGCAGGCTGTTGGAGCCAAGGCTTTATGTCTTAGGTTTTACCGCCAGGCTTATGTTTCACTCTGGATTTCAACAATGGAGTGCCTGTCTCCAGGGAGGAGAATAAAAGATTTATGCAGCTACAAAAGGAAAGCTTGTAAACATGTCCTATTGTCGCAAGATACTGATCCTATATGGATGCCTTCACGGTAAGCCTGGTAACATTTGTGGACCCTTGGAATGACTTTGTTCCTGTCTGGTTAAGAGAAGTTGGCTTTTTGCAAATTCAGACTTACATTTTAGTGATAACAAGCCATACCAGTCAGGGGTGTGTGTGTGTGTGTGTGTGTGTGTGTGTGTGTGTGTGTGTGTGTGTGTTGTTTGTTTTAAGGAACAGGAGCTCCAATTCCAAATGACTTAAGAAGGGAATTTATTGGCTCATAACTGAGGCATGCAGGATAAGATAAGGCACAGTTGATTGGCCGTGACTGAGTCACATGCCCAGCCTTGGAGTTGGGGGTTGCTATGGTTTGAGTGTTTTTGTCCCCTCTGAGAATCATGTTAAAACTTAATTCCCAATGCAACAACGTTGGGAGTTGGGCCTAATGGGAGATGTTTAGGTCATGAGGGATCCACTCTCTTGAATGGATTAGTACCACCATAAAAAGGCCTGGTGGGAGCGGGTTCACCCTCCTCTGCTCTTCTGCCATGTAAGGTACAGTGTTCCTGGCCTCCAGAGGATGCTGCATTGGAGGCACCATTTTGCAGCAGAGATGGGGCCCTTAGCAGACACTAAACCTGCCATACCTTGATCTTGGACTTCCCAGCCTTCAAATATTTATATTCTCAGTCTGTTCTTTATAAATTACCTAGTCTCTGGTATACTGTTATAGCAACACGAAACAGACTAAGATAGGGGTAGAGTCAGTACCATCTAAAACCAGTGCTTTTCTTTTTTTTTTTTTTTTTTCTTTTGAGGCGGAGTCTCGCTCTGTCGCCCAGGCTGGCGTGCAGTGGCACAATCTCGGCTCACTGCAAGCTCCGCCTCCCGGGTTCACGCTATTCTCCTGCCTCAGCCTCCTGAGTAGCTGGGACTACAGGCCCCCACCACCGTGCCCGGCTAATTTTTTGTATTTTTAGTAGAGACGGGGTTTCACCGTGGTCTCAATCTCCTGACCTCATGATCCGCCTGCCTCGGCCTCCCAAAGTGCTGGGATCACAGGCTTGAGCCACCGCACCTGGCCAAACCAGTGCTTTTCAAATCATCTATGGTAAATGTATTAGTCTGTTGTCACGCTGCTAATAAAGACATACCTGAGACTGGGTAATTTATAAAGGAAAGAGGTTTAATTGACTCACAGTTCCACATGATTGGGGAGACCTCACAATTATGGCAGAAGGTGAATGAGAAGCAAAGTCACATCTCACATGGCAGCAGGCAAGAGAGCTTGTGCAGGGGAACTCCCCTTTATAAAACCATCAGATCTTGTGAGACTTATTCACTATCATGAGACCAGCACGCGAAAGACTCGCCCCAGGATTCAGTTACCTCCCACCCTGTCCGTCCCACAACACATGGGAATTATGGGAGCTACAATTCAAGATGAGATTTCGGTGGGGACACAGCCAAACCATATCAGTAAAGGACTGTTATTTTTAATTTCCAAGTACAGACTGATGACTCTGTTCAACAGGATGAGTTCACTGATCTTCTCTTAGTTTTTGTGGCATAAAAGTTTCTAAATGCTTACCTGAAGTTTGTCTCAAATTGGTAACAAGAATAGTGGCCCATCCATCACCAGGAGACCACATTTTAATAAGCACTTCTCTAAACCACATGGTCTAAGAAAGAGATGGCTGCTTTCCCGGAAGACAGTCTAGGGAAGGTACCACCAGAAGAGAGGCAAGAGAATACTGAGTGCTGGAAAGTTCCCCACCGCAATGATCAACTCCATTAATCTTTCTTTTGGAGAGGCCTCATCTTTGTGTTCAGGAAATTGTCAGGTTCTGGATCACCTTAATGGGGTAAGATGAGAATTTCCCACATCCCTTTTGATTTTAAGGATTGGAGACTCTTTAATCTTTTCTACTTAGTAGCACTCTGTTTCCCTTCTCTTTCTAGCCAGGTTTGGGTTAGTAAGAGGCCTCGGCCTTATTAGCCACCTATTTCCTAGAGAGGCAAGCAGTCTATCTAAGGAGACCTAACAGGCAAGGGCTGCAAATGCCACTCTACAGAAGGAAGCTCAAAAAAGATGATGGGGAAAGGGGAATCAATCGCTTGTGTTTTTAGATACCACTCAGGGCAGGGCAGACATAACATGTCTTCTTAGCAGAACAACTTTCTGTACTGGTTAAGGCATCTGAGGAAGCTGGCCATTCAGAACCAGGCTTTTTTCTTTTCGTCAGAGTCTCGCTCTGTCGCCCAGGCTGGAGTGCAGTGGTACAATCTTCGCTCAGTGCAACCTCCGCTTCCTGGTTCAAGCAATTCTCCTGCCTCAGCCTCCCAAGTAGCTGGGATTGCAGGCATCTGCCACCACACCCGGCTAATCTTTTTTTTTTTTTTTTTTTTTTTTTTAAATTTAGCAGAGACGGGGTTTCGCTATGTTGGTCAGGCTGGTCTCAAACTCCTGACCTCAGGTGATCCACCCACCTCGGCCTCCGAAAGTGCTGGGATTACAGGCGTGAGCCACCATGCCCAGCCAGAACCAGGCATTTTAAAGTGGTCGAGGCAGACTAATTTGTTGAGAAGGGAGACGAGAAAATGTTGGCCCTACATGACAGTGAGACACCCTAGGATCTGTACTTCCAGCTTGCCCTTTACAGCAGGCCATACTATTCAGAGGCTATTCCTGCATGCTCAGCAAACAGTTCAACTGGTAGGAAGGGAACTTGTAGCAGATTCTGTATGGCCTGACTGACTTGCCAAAGAGGAAAACCCAACTGCTGGCTGCACTAGTGGGCCTTGGGGTTAGTGAAGCATAGAAACTTAAGCCGGAGCCATCTGGATGGGCGTTTGTTGTGGTTACGGCAAAAGTTCCGTGCATGCAGTTGTACGAGTCACAGACACAGCTATTTATGCTACAATCGTGTAATTTCAGCAAACAAATATAAAACTTGTTCTTGCAGGGCAACACACTTTGTTCCCTAGAAAGCGTGTTATAGCTTATATATGTTAAACGTTAAGAATTTAGTGTTGTTACAATTAATTAAACATGTAATGAAAACCTCCACCCAAGGGTAAGATCTTCAGCTGAGTTCAAAAAAATATGTTTATTAAAAATGGGCATATTAGGGAGGGGGACAAGGCTTGCCTTTCCCCTCCCCACGCTTCTTTCTTAACTCCTGTGGATTCTAATGGCATAGCTTGTTTTGTGCCTGGTGACCTGTACTATTGTACTGAATGCAGGTCCTTTGTCTGGCAGGAAAAAAAAAAAATCTTGTGCACGACAAGCCAGTTTCCTAATGAAAGAGTTGTTATTTGGGAGAGGAGATGAGGTTATTTTGGAGGAACGCAGGCCTTTGAAAGATGTGGTTAGAGAGGTTCATAAAGAAACGAAAATCTGCAGCTGTCCCTGGGCTTAAATAGCCCTCTAGGGAGCCGTACGACCAGCACAGGGACATTCTAATGAATCCTTTATTCCTTCAGAATGCCTGTCTGGGGAGGTGGAAACAAGTGTGGGGCCTGTGGGAGGACCGTGTACCACGCAGAAGAGGTGCAGTGTGATGGCAGGAGCTTCCACCGCTGCTGCTTTCTCTGCAGTAAGTAGCTCTCCATGCTCCACCTTTGACGGAATTTGTATGTACAGAGCTTCAATATGTCTATTTAAGGAAAAATTGTGGTTTTGCCAACAAAGATCATTTTGAAAGCACGAATGGTTTTTACCTGTCTTCTTAGATGTTGTAAATGCCAAGCCTAGCAGCGAAGACAGGAGGGGTGGCCCAAGACACCCAGCCTCCCTTTGTGTCCCCATAGCTTTTGGCCTCCATTTTGGCCTTTATTTTGTTAACACATCTGCCTCCCCCACCTCACTGAGTGCTGGGTGTCACTTATGTGGTCTGGCACCTAGCACAGTTTCTGGCACATTACAAGGGCTTAGCTCCCATTTTTGAGTAAATGATTGCTCCTCATCCACCCCAGCTTTCTCTTTCTCAGGTTCCCTTTAATGACAACAAAGTCTTCGGTTTTAAAACTGTAGAGTAGCAACTTAAAGCACTTCATTAATCATCTTCTGATTTAATGACAGAATTTTCTTTAATGAATGATTATGTCAGGTAAACCCACCCATACGGGCAGATGTTTGCCTTATCAATAGTATTGTACAGGGAAAATTCCTACAGAAAACCATAGGTTAAAAATAGGTTACATTGAGAAATAATCTTCAGGAAAAGACTTCTTTCTCAAATTTGAATTGTCCTTTTCCCTCATTGGAGCCAGCATTCAAGGTATCTGGACCTCTTTAATAGCATAACTAAACTGCTTTGCAGACAACCAGAAGCAGACAACAGAAAGTTGCAGTTACAAAAAAATAAAAATACTACATAGGAATGTTCACTATGTATGCCTTCCTCAGAAGACTTGGTTTAACCATTGCTTTTAGAAGTTACTTTTTTAAAAAAGGAATCTATTTTTCAGCAGGCTTGTAACCAAGAAAGTATGGAAACAGAATGCAAATACTTTAGAAATTGCTCTCAGTTTCATCTGTCTAGGTTAAGCCACAATGTCTACACCATAGTAACATATGCGTGTATGCTGTTGACATTTGTTTTACTAAATGTCAAGTTCTCTACTGGTCATTTCTACGAATCCTTTCTAATATCTGTCTCTGCTGACTAATGCCTTTTAAGGAAATAATTCAGAGTAGTTTGCAGACCTATGAGAATTTTACTGCAGAGAACAGCATGAGGACTGGGGAAGAAAGGGGTGGTTATATAGTAACACTTTCATATACCTACACTTGTTTTGGTTCATACAGGTTTTTCAAAACAGTATTTACATTTATTCTCTCTGTTAAGGGTAGTTGTCCTTCAGCAGTGCATGGTGTTAGGTTAACTATGGTTTAAGATATAGTTATCTTTAGGCACATGTATTTCAGCACTTGAGCCTCAACAGTTAGATTCCAGAGTAGATGCCATTTCATTCTACCATAGAAGACTTTAGTTTAAGATAATAGACTAAATTTTAAACCAGCCAGCTAGTCCTGCTTCCCTCCCCTCCTCTTTGCTGTCCTTCCTTTTGTCCTCCTTCCTTTTTATTCAACCCCCCCCCTTTTATTTTTCTTACTTTTAATTTTTATGGGTACATAGTAGGTATATATATTTATGGGGTACATGAGATGTTTTGCTACAGGCATACAATGTATGTTAATCACATCATCTTAAATGGGGTATCCATTACCTCAAGCATTTATTATTTTTTTGTTACCAACATTCCAGTTAATACTGTCTTATTTTTAAATGTACAATGATTGTTGACAGTAATCATCCTGTTGTGCTATCAAATACTAGATCTTATTCATTCTAACTATATTTTTACACCCATTAACTCTCCTCACTTCCTTCCCGACACCCTACCCTTCCGAGCTTCTGGTAACCATCATTCTACTCTGAATCATCATACAATTGTCTTTTAAATAAGGGGAAGAAATTCTGATCTTTGATTTCCAGCTGCCAGATTGTGCTACCAGTGAGTTTCCTCACAATTTACTTTTTTCTCAAGCTTAATTGAAGTTTTAGAAAATGAAATAATGTCTGGATGAAACTCGATGACATTTGGCAGTTTTATGAAGTGGGACACGTGGAAATGTCCTGTGGCAAGAGATCCATCAAGAAAGAATGCATTCTCCTTTGGGACAGAAGGGAAAACAAATGCAGACTTTAAAGCACTTGACGATTTTCAGGCAGACTCATCACTGCTGGAGAAGCTGCTGGGGAGAGGAAAGTGTGATACTTCCCAGTCTAGACTAGTGATGAAAACTAGAATTCAGGATTTAAAACTATTATTATCCCAGGAGGTGCTTTTGGGGGAGGAAAGGCTACAGAGGCAAGTCCCCGAAGGCACTGAGCTTCCCTTCTGTTCTGTATTAGGTTGTGATTTAACAGTACTTGGTTAAGAGAAGGCTGAAAAGATTAAGAGTGTTGAGGGTTGGGAGCAAGGTGGTGTTTTATTCCTTTTGTTTAAGCATTTTTATAGCCACCTTTGAAACTTTTCTCCCTTAATATGATCTCCCAGAAAGGGAAATCATAGTAAGAGTTTGATCAGCACCACAGGAAAGGGAATAAAAAATAAACGAAACAAACTAAAAATAAAGCTTGAGGCTTCTGGATGTTATATTCTGATACATTTCTGAAGCAACTGTCATATCCATGGAGGAATGTAAATAATCCTCGAATGTAGCTGGCCAGTCCAGATGCTGTCTCATGGCTTTTGGGAAGCCACAGGATAAACCAGGAATGTGAGGGAGCCTCAGCCTTCACCATTTGTAGGCCATGTGTCTGTGCCACCATTGTTCTAAGGAAAAAGGCATCTTTGGAACATGTGTAAAGTCTAACTTTTTCCCCTGCAGTGGTTTGCAGGAAAAATTTAGATAGCACAACAGTGGCAATTCACGATGAAGAGATCTACTGCAAATCCTGCTACGGAAAGAAGTATGGGCCAAAAGGCTACGGTTATGGCCAGGGCGCTGGCACGCTTAACATGGACCGTGGCGAGAGGCTGGGCATCAAACCAGAGAGGTGAGTTGGGAGACCGTTGGTTACCTTCAGAAATGAGTTGCGACAGTTAGTGCCGCTTGCTGAACAGGAACCTGGCAGTCTCCAGATTTTTAGTTGAAACTAAGCAAATAAAATGGGACTCTGATTTTCTAATGTCAACTAGTTCAAAATATTGAGTTTTGGACCTAACAAAGTTCTTATTAATAATTCCAGTGATTTCTACTTCTGGCTTTATAGCATTCCAAGCTGTATCAAGGAGTCGTGTTCTCAAAAGCAAGTGATTTGTATTTACTTCAATTTCACAGCACCTTGGAGACCGGATGTCATGAAATTAAATGGTAGAGAAATGTGCTGTGTGAATCATGAGAGGTGTTTCTCATGTGCAATGTAAGCAGCCAATGAAAATTCCTAAGTCACTCCTTCTATGTAAACATTTTTCATCAAGAAATCACTTTTCTCTAACTTAAAATTTTTTACTTAAAAATGGAAATTACTTCTTATTTTTGATTCTTTGAGAGAGTAGTGTTAAACTTTAAAGGCTTTGTTGCCAACGTATCAAGGTGCTAAATTTGTGAAAGTTCACTTAGTATTTCATATTCAGGTTAAATAACTTATTTGTTTAGAATTCCCCCCACACACTTTTTTTTTTCTTTTTTGTCACAGAATCTCACTCTGTCACCCAAGCTGGAGTGCACTGGCACAATCTCGGCTCACTGCAACCTCTGCCTCCCAGGTTCAAGTGATTCTCTTGTCTCAGCCTCCTGAGTAGCTGGGATTACAGGCGTGCACCACCACACCGGGCTAATTTTTGTATTTTTGGTAGAGGCGGGGTCTCACCATATTGGCCAGGCTGGTCCTGAACTCCTGGCCTCAAGTGATCTACTTATCTCGGCCTCCCAAAGTGCATGGAATAACAGGCATGAGCCACCGTGCCCAACCTGGAATTTCCTCCTAACTCCTACTTTTAACCCAGTGATTCCACTATTTGAACTTCACATTTTCACATCCATTTTATATTGAGAAGTCCAAAATTGGTGTAATAGTCCAACAAAATGGCCTTTGGACAAGACCATAAACCATGCCAGCCACCGTGCAGCATTAGCATATGTTAACTCGTGTAATCCTCACAACAGTCCTACAACATAGGGCTTCCTCTCTTTCTTCAGAACAGATGAAGACAAGAAAAATTAAGTAAAAACTTTGCCCAAAGTCACACTGTTAGTTAATTGTAGAGCCTGGAACTTAACCTAGTCTAACTCCAAACCTTATGACCTGAATGAAACGTGGTGCTTGGCTTGGCTAAAATAATAATTACCATGTATTGAGTCCCTGTTGTCTGTTGAACATTTATCTTCATTCTGTATAATCCTTAGAGTAACTCTGAGGTATACTTTGTCCATTTATAGATGACGACACTAAGAGTCGGGTCACACAAATAAGTGAGGGAGCCAGGATTTGAATCAATGTCCATTTGGTTCCAAAATCTGTTCTCTTCCTACTGCAGTATGTACTACATTGAGGCTCACCTCTGTGTTCTTTGAGCTTCTTCCACCCTCAGAGTTTCTGGGCCATGATGCCCAGCTTACCTTTTTATCTTTGTTAAAATTTATTTTACTTGTTCTGCTCTCCTTTTCCATCTTGTTACATCTATTTTTGTGTTTTAAAGGTTTTGTTGAAAACCTTTCAAAATCCATATCCCCTCACTCAACCTGCATCTCCCTCAATCCAAACCAGATTTATCCATGACCCCAAAAGTAAGTCAGTGACTATGGCCATAGTTTTAAAGCACAAAGACCAGTGAACCCTCCTTTTTTTAAAAAAAAAAAAAAATATATATATATATATATAGACAGGGTCTTGCTATGTTGCCTAGGCTGGCCTCGAACTCCTGAGTTCAAGTTATCCTTCCACATTGGCCTCCCAAAGTGCTAGGAAGACATTGTTTTTCCAGTAGGAAAAATTAACAGTTGTGGAGTGCTATCATTTTATCTGCTCAGCTAATTTATAAGGTTCTAAGAGGGCTTAAAAAAAAAAAAGTCTTCTCAAAGCCCGAGAATGTTCTGCACATACTAGGTACACCTTACTGAATGGAAACAGTTCCTACTGATAGCAAGAAATATGGTTTACTCAGTGATCTGTAAATAGTGACAAAAATACCACCCTTACCAGAGAAAAATGAAAGATAAACAGATTGCATAGTAATAATCAAAATTTATAAAATATTTTTCCATGAAGAAAGTTGGCTATTCACACTTTCCTTTATTCAAGATATACTGGGAGACTAAGTAATCTATAAAACATGCTTAAATTTCTTAGTTACAGACCAAAGTTAACTTACCTATTTGTGGAATTTTTAAACTACTTAATAGTGGTTTTTCCGACTCCTGTGAAGTAAAAAGCTAGGTATGATTCCAGTGATATTATTCTGGAGTAAAAATATATGCTCTGGTAAGTTTTTATAAACCGTAACATAATTGCTTAGTGGAGAGGCCAACACTGAGGAGTAAATGAATTCTGTTTAGACTCAGAGGGACAGATCTTTACGTTTGGGTCCCTATCTGGTTTTTTGAAATAATAATGAGCCCATAGATAGGTTCAAGTAGTAACTCTGGCTGGCACCTGAGTCACTTCTTCTTTATTCCCTCCCCTGTGCTGGCCTGCAAAGGCTTCCAGCTTTGAGGCAGTGTAGCGGTTAAGTCCCAGAGTTCTATTGTTCCTGCCTTGTGTACTTAAAAGGGCCCTGTGGAAACTCTTGCCTACTTTTTTTTTCCTCTTTTCACAAGTGTTCAGCCTCACAGGCCTACAACAAATCCAAACACTTCTAAATTTGCTCAGAAATATGGAGGTGCTGAGAAGTGTTCCAGATGTGGGGATTCTGTATATGCTGCCGAGAAGATAATTGGAGCTGGAAAGGTAAAGTGCTATTTGGAATTAATAACAGCAAATGACTTCTCTCTGCTCCCTTTCTCCCCTAACCCTTCCACATTCCTTGCTTGGGTGATGTCTTACAAATCACTGTCTTATATGAAACTTTTCTTTAAATGCATTTCCATCAGAATCATTAACTTTTTTGAAGTGATTCCCTTATTTGACAAGTCATTTTTCTGTTTAAAAGAACTTGTTTTCATAGGGGGCACTCCTGAAGGTTAAACTTTAAAAGGCCAGACTGTAAGGGAATCTCCAGGTTATTCAGTATAGTGAAAAAAGCAGGAATCCGAGTCAGGACACCTGATGCGAATTCAGTGTGTGGATTTGGAAAAGTTACCAGCTAACCTCTTTGAGCTGCGCTGTTCTTGGCCAGAAAAAAGATGGTCTCTTTAAAGGAGCAGACTGGGCTTGTGGTTAGGACTGAGGCTGCTCTTAGGGAAACAGCCTTTCTGTGGGTGATCAAGAGTGCAGATACTGAGGACTGGTTTCAGCCTTCTCATTGGAGCTGAACCACAGAAGTCAGGAGCTTGCTTTGAGATGATCATCCTGAGCCACTTCTTGCCATACATCTAAATTGAACTGTAGGAAACAGGCCTCTCAAACATGCTGACACATTCATCTCTTCCAGCCCTGGCACAAAAACTGTTTCCGATGTGCAAAGTGTGGGAAGAGTCTTGAATCAACAACTCTGACTGAAAAAGAAGGTGAAATCTATTGTAAAGGTAAAATTCATTTCAGTTACTGCTGTCCATATGAATATTCCACACTGGTTCTTGTTTAATGAAATGTCACTGGCATTAAAAAAAAAAAAAGAAAAGTATGCCACTATTTTCTGAAAATAAAATATCCCAAGATGCTTATAGATGACAGAGAACCACAGTTAAGTTCCTGATCATTTAAAACTCCCCACCAGATAAAAACACCACAAATAGCCATCTTTTGCCTTCATGTCTTGAGCAAAGCGTAAGTATATGGAAGAAAACAGACAAATACATACCTTACCTGGCCTGACTCATGCTTGCAACTCAGCAGGACCACGCTGAACACTATAGGGCCAGAATGTGTGGACTTGTCTTTGCAGCTTTAAGATATTTAGTACATGACACATTTAACATCTTAAATAAGTTGAGCTCTTTTACACAGCAGTTTAATTTATGGGGGTTTGTTGAGTGGGTCTTAAGCAGTGCTAGCAAAGCTTAATGGACTTGCACTAACTATCCTTCCTCCCTTTCCTTTGTAGGATGCTATGCAAAGAACTTTGGGCCCAAGGGATTTGGCTATGGCCAAGGAGCAGGGGCTCTTGTTCATGCCCAGTAAGATGTAAACCCTGAACTAAACATCACACACTGAGAATCTCTTCATAATCTAGGCACAGATAATCTTTAACACTAAACTACTGTGAAATTCTACCAGCATTAAGTACTGTATATCGCCCTGTACTTGGATAGGCTGGCTAACTCGTAGGAAGAGAGCACTGTATGGTATCCTTTTGCTTTATTCACCAGCATTTTGGGGGAACATTTCTTTTACATTTTAAATAAAACTTCAGCTTGATTTGGGTGTTCATTGTCTTTTAATTAATCTTTTGGAGGAGATGCTCTGATTTCAGTTAGTGGAAAGTCATTTGGTTCCCTACCTTTGTTACCCCATTACCCAGCTGACTCACTAGGTTCATGTTTGCATTACAGCTGTTGAAAAGGATCTCTCTTTCAAGCAGGCAAGTGTGCCTTAAGAGTAAAGGTTGCAGGCCGGGCGCGGTAGCTTACGCCTGTAATCCCAGCACTTTGGGAGGCCGAGATGGGCAGATCACGAGGTCAGGAGATCGAGACCATCCTGGCTAACACGGTGAAACACCGTCTCTACTAAAACTACAAAAAAATTAGCCAGGCGTAGTGGCGGGCGTCTGTAGTCCCAGCTACTCGGGAGGCTGAGGCAGGAGAATGGCGTGAACCCGGGAGGTGGAGCTTGCAGTGAGCCGAGATCGTGCCATTGCACTCCAGCCTGGGCAACAGAGCGAGACTCCGTCTCAAAAAAAAAAAAAAAAAAAAAAAAAAAAGGTTGCTAGGCAACAGGCATCATTATTTCAGCTCCTCAAAGCTGGTGTTCAGCAGTGCAGCATCTCCTCCTTTCCCTCCCCACCGTACTCTTAAGTAAGTTCTTTTGATTATACCTAAAATTCAGTACAAACAAACACCTATGGGCAATTATAGAATCAGAGACTTAGTATGATTCTTTTTAAAGACTCTACACTGTGATCTAATAGATGGTGACCTACTAAGTCCTGGAAACTGGGGTGTTTCACACATTTTGATTCTGTATAAGTAGCAAAGAATGTTGCATTGTCTGGGCACATTCAGCTGGCTTAGGTAGAAGAGGAGCATTAGACTTTATAAGGTATGGTTTCATTATTCCCCCAGAAAGTTTAGTTCTTTACTAGAGATTCAATCCAACTCCCTCACCCCCAGGAGCAGGGTGTAATAGGTCTGTAATGTGTATTATTAGTAAAATTGAACCAGCCCGTGAACATATCTTAATCTTTTCCAAGGTTCATTTTAACATACTATACTGTGTGAGTCTCGCTCTCTTGCCCAGGTTGGAGTGCAATGGTGCGATCTCAGCTCACTGCAACCTCCACTTCCTGGGTTCCTGCGATTCTTGTGCTTCAGTCTCCTGAGCAGCAGGAACTACAGGCATGCTACTGCACCCAGCTAATTTTTTATTTTATTTTTTTTAGTAGAGATGGGGTTTCACCATGTTGTCCAGGCTGGTCTTGAACTCTTGGCCTCAAGTGACTCAACCACCTCGGCCTCCCAAAGTGCTGGGATTACAGGCATGCACTACCACGCCTGGCCAATATATTGCTTATTTTGAAAAAGCTAAAGGGGATATGGTATGTACGACATCAAAAAAAATAAATAAGCAGAAACAAAGTGGGAGGAAGTTGGTGGAGGGTGTACTGGGTGCTTATTTCACATCATAGCCTTGAGCAACTTCAGGTGTTTTATGAGGCATACCAGTTCCATCATGGTGGGGCAGGAGAGGTAGTTAAGCAGTCTAGGAAATAATTGGCAATCAAAGAGGCTGAAGGAGAGAAGTTATGGAATAACTTCTGATTCTGTATGTGGTAGAACATGTCCACAAATTCTTTGACCTTCCCATCAAATGATAGTCTAATTCCCCTCTCTTTGAATAAAGGCCCACCTTAGTGACTCATTCTTAGTATTTATTATTTTGGATAAGGCTAGGTTAGAAAAGACAATACAGCTTTTGCCCACCTCTTCCTCTTAGGATGCTTACTCTTGGAATTCAGCCACCATGTTCTGAGGAAGCCCTGACTACATGAGGAAACCACATGTAGGCATTATAGCTAAGGCCTCAGCTGAGAGCTCATTCAACAGCCAGTATCAACCATCAGGCATGTGAGTGAGGCAGCCTTCAGATTATTCTAGTCTCTGGTCTTTGAGCCATCCCAGCTGATCCCAGGTGGAGCAAAGTGAGCTATTCCTGTTACGCCCTGACCAAATTGCAGATCTACGAACAAAAATGTTTTAGACCACCAAAGTTTGGGGTAGTTTGTTAGCATTCCTACCATGTTTCCCAAACTCTACTGGAGTTGCTAGTAGATATTCAAGAGGAAAAACAATGTAAATGAAGTTTCCAGGTGACTGGTAATTTGAGATTTCTGTCTGGTAAAATAAAACAAGATATCCATTCATACTTTAAATCATTCTTGATTGAGAGCCATGGCAAAATAGCTACTCCAACACTGTGAGATTAGTTTCCAGAGGTTCCAGGAGTAGAAAAAGGAAATTGGCTTTGGGCCAGACTTGGGAGGAATCACTTGGTCATTTGGATGTAAGTCAGTAACCCCAAAGTAATCCGAATGCAGTATTAAAGTGCTGCATGTCACAAAACATGTATTTTAAAAACTACCCCCCTTATATTGGTTTGGTATATTTAAGGAGGACTGCTGGCAACTCTAGTGCCAAAAAAGTCTTGTCAATCAAGTAAGTTTAGGGAGTGTTACAGAAATGAGACAGACCTGTATGCTGACACTGCACACTAGCTACTGAAGGCCTTGAGAGCCTATGGTTGAAGTCTTTTAATTTGAAGAGAGCCTTACACTGAATTAGTTGTCCATGGAACCATTAACATCTTGGGAAATGTTCTGAACCTGTGGTTTCCAAACAGTTTGATCTCAGGACCCCTTAATATCCTTAAATTATTGAGGACTCCAAAGAGCTTTTGCTTATGACAGTTGTCTCTATCAATATTATTTTGTATTAGAAATTAAACAAAATTTTTAAAATTTTAATTCAGACTTCCACTTATAGCCAAAATGTAGTAACAGGGACCAGATTTATTGTCTTACTGTAAACAAGACAAATTACATGAAAAAATGTTCAAGACACTGCACATTATAGGCAACAAAGGCAATTTATGGGGGGAAAAATGAGATCAGTCTTAGCAACTACCAAAGCTTACTGCTTTGAGCTTCTAGGCTGTAGTACAAAGAAGAAGAACACAGGTAGAGCTAGAAGCCACCATAAGTTAAGACAGAGCTAAGAGTCCAGGGAGATCCAGGTGGCTAGAGTTTGCAGGACTGGAGAGGATTAGAGAGAGCAAACTTTAGGATTATACAGAACACTACCCCACCATGCACGTCTTCAGCTGAATTCTGATAGAACATGCATGTTAGGTGACTAAGGCCAGGGAAAGAGCCATCCAAAAGACGTGGAGCAAACAGTGTCTGGTGCGCACATGGAATAGGAATAGTGCCTGTTCCACCACCAAGACTGGGAAACATGACTCCTTGCGGTTTTGGATAGAGTACAGAGAAGGCTCTTACTGAGGTAAGAGCAATGCTTTGGTCTTGCCTAACAAATCTTAAAAGCAAGACCTCAAAGGATCAAAGTTTCCAAGTAACTTAACTGCATCCTGAATAAAGCTCAAGAGTTTATAGAAACACAAAAATATCAGGCACCCAATTCATAGTGTTTGGCATCCAATAAAAAATTACCAGGCACGCAAGAATGAGGAAAAAAATATCAAAACTAACTCAGAACTGGCAAATGTAAACGTTAGCAGGTAAGGACATTAAAACAGTTATTAGAACTACATGTTTTCAAAAAGTTAAGATATTGAAGATACTTTAAAAGGTCCAAATCAAACATTGTAGGTGAAAACAAAATGAGATGAAAATAAACTGAATGATATTGACTACACATTGCAAAAAAAAAAAAAAAAAAACAACAATAGTCAACTTAAAGACAAACTATCTAAAACAAACACTGGGAAAAAGAATCTTAAAAGCCAATGGAGGATCGATCAATGAGTTGGAAGACAATCTCAAGTGGCCTAACACATGTGAAATGGGAGTTTCCTGAAAGGAGGGGAGGAAAAATAATTGAAGAAAGAGTAACTGAAAATCTTCCAAATTTTGATGAAAACTGTAAACCTACAGATCCAAGCAGCAGCAGCAACAATGGGACTTTCTGATGCTTTGAATGGAAACAATCTAAAAACATTGCCATCTATTAAAAATATTTGTCAGTCCTAGTAAATGAGTGACAGTTTTAGCAAAAATTTACCTGGGTAAAACATTCATATCCAATTCAAAGGCAAGAGTTTTCTAAGAGGCATACCTGGTTTCCTTGAGTTTCTGACTTAGCTGACACAGACCAAAGAATATTCTGAATGCTCAATCTACTTTTTCTATTTTAAGTCACATAAATATATTTAATAGAAAACTCTGATAACAAGCACTTTACTTTCTGACAAGATGTTAAGATTTTCTGTCCTGGTATATACCACTTGTTTCCAATTATGTCTAAAAACTCCTAGACTCAGACATCCATATCAGGTATGATACATCAATCTAGCAAGGACTAGGAGAGATAAAAAGTAGACAATGAGGAGGAAAATACTTGGGTGGAATGAAAACTAGCGGCTTTACTTTATACAGTTGTTCAAGATATTGTTACTTGAACTCCAGACTAAAATTATGGATAGAGTATTAGTCCAATTTGAAAATATTCCTGTTTAATACCACTGGGTTCTCAAACCATTAACAACCACTGGAACAACAGGAAACAGTTCCTTAATAATTTTTGCCTTTTAAAGTCCCAAATAAAGAAGTTCTCTCTGCCACGCATATCTTCTCAAGTAACTGAGATCAACGTTTGGTAGGTTTCATTCTGC